>NT_187660.1:786808-1080195 GCF_000001405.40 Homo sapiens
CATGATCCACCCGCCTGGCCTCCCAAAGTGCTGGGATTACAGGTGTGAGCCACTGTGCGTGGCCTGTTCTTTATCTAATGGTTTGCAAGGGTGGAAATACCTCTGGGGAAATGTGATGGATTCTCCTAGGAAACTGACTTCACCAAATAATTCTTTTGAAACTGTTCAGAAACGAGACAAATGACATGAATCTATTTACAAAGAGAATTACCTCTGTGTCTGTGACCCAAGAGGCATTCCCATAGTGATACACTTGGACATTTGTTCAGGGGGCAAGCGCTCACGCCGAGTGATTTTTCTTTTTTCTTTTCTTTTCTTTTCTTTTTTTTTTTGTTTGTTTGTTTTTAAGACTGAGTCTCGCTCTGTCGCCCAGGCTGGAGTGCAGTGGTTCGATCTCAGCTCACTGCAAGGTCCCCCTCCCGGGTTCACACCATTCTCCTGCCTCAGCCTCCCCGGTAGGTAGCTGGGACTACAGGCGCCCACCACCATGCCCGGGTAATTTTTTGTATTTTTTTTTTTTTTTTTTTTTTATAGTAGAGACGGGTTTGACCGTGTTAGGCAGGATGGCCTCGATCTCCTGACCTTGTGATTTTCAAAGCTGTTCGAGGGCATTTATCAGGCTTTTAACTCTAGGTACTCTTTCCCACAGTGTGAAGGCCAAGAGAAGGGATCCTGGGCTCTCTTCCCTGGCCCCAGGATGGGAATTCAGGGGGAAAAGGTCACCTATTCTCCTATTCTTATCCCACAAAAGAAAACTTATGCATCAGTTGTCAAGCTAAGGAGCTTCAGAGTCCACAAATAGGGAAATTGCTGAGAGCTTATCAGTAGTGTCCACTACCCATCCCCACCTGGGGTCACGTGGAGAATGATGGTGGGGGCGACGATCTTGTCCTACTTCAGGTGAAAAGCAGGGGTGTGGGGGGGTTTCATTGTGAAGGGCTCCTTTGTTAAAATTCCTTCCAATTCCAGGAAAAACATGCACTCGAAAGCCATTATCTCTTTTACTTCTTACTAGGGAACTTCCAGGAAAGAGACGGGGGGGTGGGGGGTGGGGAAGAAGAGGGCAAAACAGCTGAGTGAATGTAGTCACCTCTCCGATTGCTTTTCTTGTTGCAGAATATTTCACATGCCAGGATTTTCCTTCTTGTCCTCCGGACTGTTGATACACCCAACATCTTAATACGCTTTCAATCACAAGTTAAAGACATCCAGAGCCAGATTGCTTGAGCCTAGGAGTTCCAGACCGGCCTGGACAACATGGTGAAACCCAGTCATATATATTTTTTTTTAGGGGGAAATTTGCTCTTGCTGTCCAGGCTGGAGTGCAGTGGCGAGGTCTCAGCTTGCCAGACCTCCGTCTCCGGGGTTTGGGTGGTTCTCCTGCCAAAGCCTCCTGAGTGGCTGGGATTGCGGTGTGAGCCACCATGCCCGACTAATTCCTTAACTGTGCAACTACAAGGTCACTAAACAAATAAACTCAAGTCACAAAACATATTTTTCCTTAAATAGTAAAAAATAATATAATGCATGTTTCAATTAAATAACAATCTTTGTTTCTCGCTTCTATAATATGCTTCTCCCTGCACAGATCTCCCCCTTCGCCCCACATAATGCTTGAAAGGTAACTCTTGGTTCAGTGCTCAATCCTTTAAATGTTAATCCGACTGGGCCGGTGCACCTAAATAATTAATAAATGTCCTCCTAAACCCCATGAGTCTATCTAATTCCTTAAAAATCCCTCTACAGGACTGCAGGTGTGAGCCACTGCACCCCGCCTAATTTATTAATCAGAGAGGAATAGATCGGCCTGGCGTGGTGGCTCACGCTTGTGATCCAGGGACTTTGGATGATGGAGCACTGGGGATCACTTGAGCCTAGGAGATCCAGACTGGCCTGGGCAACATGGTGGAACTCGGTCTCTCTCTTTTTTTTGTTTTTTTGGAGGCAGAGTTTTGCTCTTGTTGCCCAGGCTGGAGTGCAGTGGTGCAGTCTCGGCTCCCTGCCACCTCCACCTCTTGGGTTTGGGTGGTTCTCCTGCCTCAGCCTCCCTAGTGGCTGAGATTGCAGGTGTGAGCCACCATGCCCGGCTAATTTTTTTTTTTTTTGGTACACACAGGGTTTCTCCCTGTTGGTCAGGCTGGTCTCAAACTCAGGACCTCAGGTTATCCGCCTGCCTTGGCTTCCGGGGATGCTGGGATTGCAGGCGTGAGCCAGCGCGCAAGGCCCAATTGATTAATCAGAAAAGAATAGATCAGCCTGGCGTGGTGGTTCACGCTTGTGATCCCAGGACGTCGGACGGCCGAGCGCTGGGGATCACTTGAGCCTAGGAGTTCCACACCGGCTTGGGCAACATGGTGAAACCCGGTCTCTCTTTTTTTTGGCGGGGGGGGGTACAGGCAGGGTTTCTCCATATTCATCAGGCTGGTCTCAAACTCCCGACCTCAGGTTATCTGCCCGCCTCCTCGGCCTCTGGGGATGCTGGGATTGCAGGCGTGAGCCAGCGCGCCCGGTCCAGTTTATTAATCATAAAGGACTAGATCGGCCTGGCATGGTGGCTCACACTTGTGATCCCAGGAATTTGGACGGCAAGCGCGGCGGATCGCTTGAGCCTAGGAGTTCCAGACCTGCCTGGGTAACATGGTGAAACCTGGTCACTTTTTGTTTGTTTTGAGGCGGAGATTCGCTCTTGTTGCCCAGGCTGGAGTGCAGTGGTGAGGTCTTGGCTCAACGGGCCTCCGCCTCCAGGGTTTGGGTGGTTCTCCTGCCACAGCCTCCCGAGTGGCTGGGATTGCACGCGTGAGCCACCATGCCCAGCTCATTTTGTTTTTTGTTTGTTTTTGTTTTTATTGTTGGAGATGGGGTTTCTCCATGTTCATAAGGCTGGTCTCAAACTTCCCACCTCAGGTTATCCGCCCGCCTCGGCGTCCGGAGGTGCTGGGATTGCAAGCGTGAGCCAGCGCGCAAGGCCTAATCTATAAATCAGAAAGGAATAGGGCCGGGGATCCCTTGAGCCTAGGAATTCCAGACAGGCCGGGGCAACACGGTGAAACCCGCTCTCTTTTTTTTTTTTTTCTTTTTTTTTTTTTGCGGCAGTTTCACTCTTGTTGCCCGGTTGGAGTGCAGTGGCGCGGTCTCAGCTCCCCGCGGCCTCCGCTTCCGGGATTTGGGTGGTTCTCCTGCCTCAGCTTACCAAGTGGCTGAGATTGCAGGCATGAGCCAACATGCCCGGCTCTTTTTGTATTTTTTTTTTTTTTTTTGGTATAGACGGGGTTTCTCCCTTCGTCAGGGTAGTCTCAAACTCCTGACCTCAGATTACCCGTCTGCTTCGGCCTCCCGGGGTGGTGGGATTGCAGGCGTGAGCCACCATGCCCAGCTTATTTTTTTTTCTTTTTTGGTAGAGACGGGTTTCTCCATGTTGGTCAGGCTGGTCTCAAACTCCCGACCTCAGGTGATCCGCCCGCCTCGGCCTCCCAGGGTGGTGGGGTTGCAGGAGGGAGCCACCGCGCCGGGCGCAATTTATTAATCAGAAAGGAACAGATGGGCCTGGCGTGGCGGCTCATGCTTGTGATCCCAGGACTTCCGATGGCCGAGCGCGGCGGATCCCTTGAGCCTAGGAGTTACACGCCGGCCTGGGCAACATGGTGAAACTCAGTCTCTCTCTCTCTCTCTTTTTTTTTTTTTGAGAGGGAGTTTCACTCTTGTTGCCCAGGCTGGAGTGCAGTGGCAGGGTCTCAGCTCCCCGCAGCCTCAGCCTCCCGGGTTTGGGTGGTTCTCCTGGCTCAGCCTCCCGAGTGGCTGGGATTGCAAGCGTGAGCCACCATGCCCTGCTAATTTTTTTTTTTTTTTTGGTAGAGATGGGGTTTCTCCATGTTACTCAGGCTGGCCTCAATCTGACCTCAGGTTATCCGCCCGCCTCAGCCTCCCGGGGTGCTGGGATCGCAGGCGTGAACCACCGCAACCGGCCCAATTTTTAATCAGACAGGAATAGATCGGCCTGGCGTCATGGCTCACGCTTGTGATCCTAGGATTTTGGACGGCTGAGTGTGGCAAATCGCTTGAGCCTAGGAGATCCAGACCCGCTTGGGCAACATGGTGAAACCTGTTTTTTTTTTTTTGAGACGGAGTTTCCCTCTTGTTGCCCAGGCTAGAGTGCAGTGGCGCGGTCTCGGCTCGCCGGGCCTCCGCCTCCCGGGTTTGGGTGATTCTCCTGCTTCAGCCTCCTGAGTGGCTGGGATCAAGGGCGTGAGCCACCAAGCCTGGCTACTTTTATTTATTTATTTATTTATTTATTTATTTAGGTTGAGATGGGGTTTCTCCATGTTGGTCGGGCTGGTCTCCTGCTCCTCACCTGGGGAGATCCGCCGGCCTCGGCCTCCAGGGGTGGTGCGATTGCAGGCGTGAGTCACTGTGCCTGGCCGGAAACCCAGTCCCTTAACGGAAAAACAAAACAAAAACCACAAAGATTAGCCAGACCTGGTGGGCCCCCCTGGGTAGTCCCAGCTACTCTGAAGGCTGATGCAGGAGGATTGCTTGAGCCCGGGGTGGAGGTGGCAGTGAGCCATGATGGCGCTGCTGCAGTCCAGACTGGGTGACAGAGCAGGACTGTGTCTCAGGAAAAGGGAAAGGAAAAAAAGAATAATAAAAAGAAGTATATAAAATTGCTAAATCCAGGAACAGCTTCACAGTATATTGAGAGAAATAGAGGCAAAGGTTAGCAGACACCAATGTTCACTTAGTGGAACTGCAGGTGTCCCCAGACAGGAGGCTGCTACTTTTCCAACAGAAATCTATTATTGACCAAAAAAAGTTAGTTTGTTACAATATACAAATAGCTAAACTTTATATAGCCACGACCCTCTTCTAGCACTGCTCTAAGCCTTTTCCTGCTCTGGAATAGCTACTATTGTTACCTCCATTGTAGAGAAAACAGATGGGGGAGGTTGTTGTGGAAGGACCAGGGAAACTGACTATGAAATTGACTTGTAAGTTTAGGACTTAAAGGTTCTTCCTGCTTTGCTCCTTACATTGCCACATTTTAGTTAACATACCTCTTAAAATACTGGTCCTTTCTGTATTTGGAGGGACTCCTCTTGCAGTTTGAAGTTTTTTCTTACACTAAGCATCTGGTTAGAAGATCATCTCCATTTTATGTCAGTTTAAGTTTAGACATTGTTCAGTAAGGAATGTAAATATGAGCAAACAGTTATCTGATTGAAATAGATAAACTAGAAAAAAAATCACCTATGAGAAAGTCAACAAAATGTCAACTCTGGATTTGTGGCTATTTTCAGAATATTAATTTTTTGATATTTAATGGCATTGTGAATATATTTATTTTTAAGAATTCCTTGTCTTCTACAGATACATATAAGGTAATTAAAAATGATAGGATGTATAGGTTTTACTTCAAAATAATTCAGAGGAAGAAGGAATGTATATAAATGAAGTGGGAATATAAATGAAACAAAACTGGCTGTGGCCAGGTGTGGTGGCTCACGCCTGTAGTCTCAGCACTTTGGGAGACCGAGGCAGGTGGATCACCTGAGGTCAGGAGTTCAAGACCAGCCTGGCCAACGTGGTGAAACACCATCTCTACTAAAAATACAACAATTAGCCGGATGTGGTGCCGGGTGCCTGTAATCCCAGCTACTCGGGAAGCTGAGGCAGGAGAATCGCTTGAACCTGGGAGGTGGAAGTTGCAGTGAGCCAAGATCATGCCACTGCACTCCAGCCTGGGCAACCACAGCAAAATCCCACCTTTAAAAACAAACAAACAAACAAAAAACAACCAAAAAAAAAAACTGTCCATACCATGAATGAAAAATTGTTGATGATGTGTATATGTAGGGCAATTATATCATTTATTATATATAATATATATATTATTTTTCTCAACTTTTTTTTACATCTGAAACTTTCTATTGAACACATGGACATGTCCCTTGATAACTGGGGCTGCTTCCCCATTATTCTCTCAGCAGCCCTTCTGATTTTCACTCCATCTTCATTCTTAGAGATTCTGGATTTTATTTTTTTTTTTTTTGGGAAGTTCAAGTATGTCTTTGCAAGGATTATCCAGCATGTCTACCTACTCAATCATATTATCAGAAACAGAAAAAGTGTCCAGATTCTTGTCTTGTCCTGTTCAGATTTTTTAAATTCCAAGAACAGTCACCTTCTACCAGACACTCTGATGTTGGAAGACAAAGCATATTTGGTAAGTGGCGTGATTTCTGGGCTCCGATTTAGAACAGTCACAGCTTTCAACAATCCAAAAATAGCTGACTGTGACTCACCATATTTAGAAAGATGGAGATTATTAAAAAAAGAAAACCTTAATTTATCATGTGACCTCTAAGTATCTCGGCTGAAAATTGTAAAGATAGAAAGGTAAATCAAAAGATACAGAGACTGTAATCATGCACTTAATAAAGCGCTAAATCAAAATATATTTGGCATATGTGAAAGAGTTTAATTTTATCCCATTTTCTACTGGCACTATAGGTATTTGTAAGTACATATAAAACTACAGTGTTACATATAAACTACCAAAAAAGAACTTAAGAAACGAGACTAATCTAGCAACTTTATTTAAAAGTTTATCTTAAGGGAATAATTAAGGATGTCCATACAAAAGGATTTAGCCATGACACGAGAATGTTCTTCCTGGCAAATCAATGGAAATTATTAAATGTGCAAAAGGGAACTGTTGGAATAAATTCTAATGCCTTCATATGATCGTATGTCGTAACCTTTTAAAATGATATTAAAGAGTTGCATACATTGACTTAAACAGATATTCATAACACATCACTGAATAGGAGAAATACGGGCCAGCAAAGAACATAGAGTTGGTCCAATTTCTACAAAAAAAAGAAGACTAATAGCATGACGGCAGGGAAGGGGGAATATGTCAATGTATGTGTGTATATATATGTATGCATAGCAAGTATGAACTTGAAAGGATATATATCAAATTGTTTACACAGATTACCTCAGAGAGGTAAATAACTGGCCTTTGGTGTTCTGTGTTCCATAGATTCTGAATTTTCTTTTTTTATTTAAATAGAGATGGGATCTTAGCCAGGAGCAGTGGCTCACACCTGTAATCCCAGCACTTTGGGAGGCTGAGGAGGGCGGATTGCTTAAGGCCAGGAGTTGAAGACCAATCTGGCCAACATGGCAAAACTCTGTCTCTACTAAAAATCCAAAAATTAGCCAGGCGCAGTGGCTTATGCCTATAACCCCAGGTACTCGGGAGGCTGAGGCATAAGAATTGCTTGAACCAGGAGGCGGAGGTTGCAGTGAGCAGAGATTGCACCACTGCACTCCAGCTTAGGCAACAGACCGAGACTCTGTCAAAAAATAAAAACAAAACAAAACACCACCACCAACAACAAAACAGTAATAAAGAGAAAATCTTATGGACAGGAGCAATGTCTCATGCCTGTAACCCCAGTGCTTTGGGAGGCCAAGATGGGAGAATCGCTTGAGCCCAGGAGTTCAAGACCAGCATGGGCAACATAGCAAGACCTTTTCTCTACAAAAAATTTAAAAATTAGCCAGGCATAGTAGTGCATGCTTATACTCCCAGCTACCTGGGAGGCTGAGGTGGGAGGATCACTTGAGCATGAGAGTTGGAGGTTGCAGTGAACTGTGATCACACCACTGGGAAGCCATGACCCCATCCCTGCCTTCTTCCTCTGTCCTATGCTAGCAATAAGTAAGTTTCCCAGCCACAAATAATTATTAGAACCTCCTCCCCATGTGCCACCTCCAACCACCGCTAGGTATGATACAGGGGTGGCCCTACCCTCTGGAATATACAAAACCTTACACAGACACAATATATACACCGGGGAAGGGGGGCCACCCCAGCAGCCCATGCCTTCGCCTGGTCCACAGTTAGCCCCACTGTCCTGCCTCAGCTACCTCTCTGAATAAGAAGATTGGAGCCCCCACTGAGGGAAAAGTTGCTATGGTGAGAGTAAGGAGGCCATGAGGCCTCCTCCAAACAAACCAACTCCACCAGCCTCTGGCTCTTAAATAACAATATCATCCAGAAATTTAAGGACTCAGCTCTGGTCAAGGTGGCAAAGGGTCTGTTTGTCTTTCCTCGTTAGACAGAGGTCTTGTCCTGCTACCCTAATTGTAAAGGGGTGACTGGGAAGGGGAGATAGGGACAGTGTGGTGGTGGAGACCCCAGCCCCACTTCTCCAGGCTTTGCTGACAGGGGCCTGCTTTTAATTTTAATTTTTATTTTTATCCCATGCCTTTTTTTTTAAATCCCATAACTTCTTTTTCATAACTTTTTTTGGTAACTTTTCATAAAACTTTCTTCTACTTTTTGGTCACAAGATTTTTTTGCCACAACTTTTTTACATTTTTTATCCCATAACTTTTTCACCCCATAACTTTTGTTAATCCCATAACTTTTTTATTTTGTGTTCTTTTAATAAACCCTTGCATAGTTATATTACAATTTTGTAAAAATGAAACATTATCTCATGCCAAGCATGCTCAGCATTTGCACAGTATCAATACCTTTAATACTATATTTTTCAAGACACACAGAATAAAATTTTAAGGCAAAAACAGCACTTTGCAACAACTTAATAATTTATTACATTACAGTAGCATCACACCAGCAGTCAATAATGCCACTTTAGGCAAAAGTCTTTCAGTATTTCCGTTTTACATTCCGCTTACAAGAATTCATAAATTGGTAAAATTCATTCTAAGAAAACTTGGCAAATAAAGCTTTGGACTGGAATTGGCATTTCTTTCTCTACTTTTCCTTCCCACCGTTTATTTCCTTTACAGTATTCATATTTTAAAATGTTTTAACTTATTTCAGAACATTAAGATAGCAGTTACATTGTTTAATAGTTATTTTAAAATGACTCTTTCAGATAAAGTTTTAGAGAAACTATAGTATGGATAGGGCTGATTTACATTTTCAAATTTTCTAAAAATCAGCTTTGGTTTTAGAGCTGATTTTTGTTCATTTCTGGAAAACCTATCAGATTTAATCCAATACTTTAAAAATGATTATTATATATTGCAATCTTTAAATCGGTGATTTGATTCTTCCTACAGAAATTCAAATTTATTGAATTGAACTCACATTTTAGAATTCTGTTTCTGATGAACTCTAACCTTCCAATGTTGCCCTCTAAGCAAATTGAAAGCTGCCTTATACCGAATGAGGAAGAATACCAATACTTGGCTGAATGAGGTATCGCAAAAGACTGCATGCACTTTGAAGAAAGACTTAAGTTATAGTCATGCGATTTCCATTCTTTTTAGCTTTTTCTTCAATATACGACAAATATCTACACAAAGAGTGGTATTTCCGTTAATACAGTCAATTTATTTTCCAGATTGACATTCAGCTTAAATATGCCAGTATGTGATTTAATCCACAGGCACCTGATGAACACATTATTGTCAGATTGGTTACAGATGCTCGTAGTTGTCTTTAAACTGAACTCAAAGAATGCAAAAACATCAAGTTCAGAAAATAAAAGGCAAGGACAGGACTTTAAGTGCATTTTAAAGCCACGGGCGAGAAATCGTACCACTGTTAACTAGCCGCATTATTTGGTCTAACATTTTTTCTTTATCATTCTGAAACTGGGTTTATCTAATACATTGATACATTCATACAATTTGGAAGAGTCCGTTGAAGTCACAAGGACCCGATGTTTGCACTCTTTCAGTGATTGCCGGCAAATCTGTTATTCCATCGGCAAAATCGTACTGCTGCTCTCCTGTTAATGTCGTATTTATAAAAGTATCATGAGGATGCCAAATGCTAAAAATGGAGATGGTCTAGTAACTAGAAATCCCCACCCCAGGGAGCACACATACATATCTCCCTACATCCTAATAATGTGATGTGTTTTGGAACACAGACATTAGAACTTCATGAAGTTTTAACTGTTGAGTCTTTCCCAAGCATCATCAAGTTATGATTTAGGCAATGTACAACTGAAATTCATTCATTCATCATGCATAGGCACAATCACATAAATACTGCACAAAATATGCCCGTAAGTGAAACCCAGAGGTACAGAAACACATTTCACTCTTCACAAAGAAGTTTGTGAGGAAATATAACTCTGTGATTGTATAGACATGTTTCCTGATAATACACTGACATTCACCAACAGTAGATTGCACTGCAGTTTGTACACATTTTAAGTTGCATAAACTTCTCCTTGATTTTCAAAGATAGTATAATACTGTCTACTAAAACTCCTTTTTGTTTCAACTAAGCACTCTCACATATATTAGTTTATAACAATGTTTATTATTATTTCAAAGTGTTTTCCATTCAAGGAAAAGAAGTCAATTCCTATGTCAAAGTAACCAAGGTGGTTGAAGAATAGGCAGAGTGGTCTAGATGGTAAAATCAATCTTCAAGCCTCAAAGAAGCTCCATGAACAGAGGAATGCCAGGTGTCACACAGCTTTCCTTCACTCTAATTCATTCTTGACTAGAGCCTGTATGCCTGTTCCAGGGACATTTGAACTCTTAAAGGATTTCTTATGATCTTTACTAAATACATTAAGAAGAATGCCAACCAGTGCCCTTTTGTGTACTGGGACATGCAGTCATGTGATTAAAACAGGTAACATGAACTCTGACTTTAAAATATAGATACAAATGCTCTAAGCTAGGAAAGGTTTTCCACAACCGTAGTCAATGATGGGAACCTTTCATTCCTCAGAAATAAGCCCTTTTTAGGTCATCAAAAAAGAGTACAACTGCTGAAGCTCATGATGCAATATCTTCATGAGCCCAGAGCACATACAAATCCTAAAGGAACTACAATAGTACAGCACTAATTCTTGGCAACAGAACAAATGAAACACACTCTATCTTGCACATACCTGCCAGAGCAGGCAACTTTCCTCTTCTGTGAAATTTAAAAAGCTCCCCCAAAATGTTATTACTCCCATCACCAATACACAGAAAATGAGGAAAAGGCTGTTTCCAGTTCTCGGCCTTTAAACAACTCTAAATGTCAGTACTCTTGGTGGCATATTACAAAGTATTAAATAGTGCACACTTGGGGCAAACCACATATTGTGCTAATGAAGAGCTCACTGTGATTAAGATTAGATCAAACAACAGCAGAACATAGGCACATTTTATCTGAATTCTGTAATGAATATACATGCTGCAATAACATTAAAAACACATGGCAGCCTATTCCAAACCAGCAAGAATAGTTTTGTGCAAATAGTGGGTCTTTGTGTGTTTGAACTCCCACCACGTAAGGGCAAACTCAATATGCATGCTAATGACCTACAATTATGAAATTGAAAAAGAAAATTGCGAAAGTATGCCAGAGTGAACATCAGTGAAAGCCACAGAGACCCACTCTCTTTTAACTATTTACAAATGAACTTAAACTATAAATTAGAAACACAAATAATCATAAGTGGCTATAACATTCAAATGAAGTAAATGAATTGTGTAGGAGATTAACCCCATAACTTTGTTTCTTTTTTAAAAATTTCTTCAGCAGCTCTTTGACGATGGTGATGTTTATCTCCTTCTTCTTGGCAGCCAAGCCCAGCAAAAGAATGGCACACAGCAGTTGCTGCCCAAGCCTGGGTGCTCCTGGTGGTCCTGCACGATCGGCTGTGCAGTAGGGTTGTCGTGGGGAGAACCCTCCCTGGCCTCTCCTTGCACAGGCTCCACGCTGTCAGTGAGGCTCACCTCACAAAGATCTTTGGAGAGAGGGAGGCGGGGATCTGAGCTCAGTGAGAGCCCCCCTGCTCCTGCCTGCCCACCCCGCCTGAGGGCTCTACTCACCACCATGCTTGTGGGCAGCCCCAAGCTCCTGGGGGGCTGGGGCTCCTGGACTGGGCTCATGAGCAGGGTTCTGGGCAGTCACCAAGAATTTGCTGTGTCCCTTGTAGTCGCCACCAGCTGCAACACCATCTCCTGCAGCTCCAGCAGCTTCACCTGGAGGGAGGGGTGCTCAGCTGTCACGCTGCTGCCAGCGCTCACCGTCACAGCCACCCCCACCCCCGCAGAGATGTTGCACACTCTACCTTCATCTCCTCCCTGTCCAGGGCCAGCCTGATGGTGTCCTCCTCCCGGTGCTGCATCTTTGGCACTGCCCCCTGGCTTTGTTATAGGGTGATAAACTTTCCTGCGGGAGGACAGGGCTCAGACGCTGGGGCCCCTCCAACAGCCCTGCAGCTCCCCCTGCCATGCCCTGGCCTCCCACTCACTGATGGCATCTCTCTCTGTAGTACTGGAAGAATCCAAGTTCTTCTTTCTCCACCAGCTCACTCAGGTCTGCCTTCTCCTCCAGGTGGTCCATAAAGCCGCTCTGGAGCCAAAATAATGGGGTCACATCTCGCCAGCGACCTGCCCTCAGGTGGCATTTTCAAGTCATGGAGAAGGCGGAGGTGAGTTCCGGCATGGGCCAGCTTCTCCGTGACTTCCTGCAGGGCCCGGTGGGTCTCCCCACTCACAGACTCGCCCCCAGGCCCTGGGGCTCCAGGGCCTCTGGCTGCCTCTGGCTCCTTCTGGGCCGAGGCCACCGGGTGAGCCAGGCGCTGGCAGCACACCCTCTGCTCTTTCACCTGCTCTTGTAACTGTGCCTGCTTCTCCTGGGCACTAGCTCCAGCGGACTTGAAAAATGCCACCTGAGGGCAAGATGTGAGCATTCTTGCAGGGGCATACACAGAACAAATGGGGCAGAGAGGTGGAGCGCAGCCCCTTCCCTTGGGGCCCCAGAGACTGCACATGTTGGTCACAGGTGAAATGGTGTCTGACCACTGGCTCCCAGAAGGGGTGAGGGTCCAGAGAAATCAGAAGGCAGGGAAACGAAGAGCATAAAGGGGTCTTGGAGGGACCACAGAGGAAGGAGGCAAAATGGGTTCAGGTGGAGTCAGGCTTACCATGGCCTCCCTGCTCTCCAGGTCCTGTGGGATGCTAGGAATGGGCCGAGGTGCCTCCTCCCCCTCACTGTCCAGATGTCCTCCTCCATCTCCTGGGGGTGGGGGTGGTGGCCAGAGGGGTCCTCAGACAACTCAACAAGGGAAGTATTGTGGGCCCACCTCTGCCTCCACCCTCATTGTGTAACCCTGAGCCAGGCCCTCCCCAGAGAGGAATGAGCTGCTGTTATTTATTTTTACTTTGAAGAACCAAGATCTTGCTATACTGCCCAGGCACATTCCCACTACTGGTCGGTGCGGGAGTTCTGACCTGCTCCCTTTCTGACCTCGGCCAGTTCAGCCATCCTTAGGCAACTTGGTGGCCCCCCGCTCACAGGAGGTCACCATATTGATGCTGAACTTAGTGCAGGCACCCGGTTAGTATAATGACCAGCTGTTCTAAAGGTCTCTTCCAACTCCTCAATCCTATGCTGCTAGCAGTCCCCCCTTCCTCCTGGGGCTCTCTCCTCTTCCTCTGAGCGGTCTCCCGTACCTTCCCCAGGGAGAGCCATGAGGCTCAACTGGGCCGTTAGCTGCTGTTTCTGCTGGCTCGCAGCTTCCAGACGCTCCTAAGGGGCCAGGAAAGAGTGAGAAGGCACAGAGTTTGCCAGGTCGTCCCCCTCACAGCCCCATCCTCGGCAGCTCCCTCCCCTGGGTCTCCTGCAACTTTTGGCAGGCCATCTCGGCCACCGCTTTGCCCCAAGCTTCCTGCTGCTGCAACTGGTTCATTAGCTGGGTCTGCTGCAGTCACTGCCTGTACAGCGCCTCCTTCTCACAGGTCAGCTGCTGATAGGCGGCCACCTGCTGCTGATAGGTGGCCACGTACTGCTGCAGGTGACCCAGGTAATGGTCTGGCTGCTGCTGCAGACTCTGAGCCTCTTGGCTCTTCAGCTCCACCTGCAGGAAGACCCTGGGTGTGAGGGCACGTGGTGGCTGGTTTGCAGATTCTGGGCCCATTAATAGGGTAGCGAGGGCACTGTGGGGCTCTGTCGCCTGCCCAGGCCCCTGGCCCCTTACTTCAGGCCTAAGTGACTGCCTTGCTTTCCTAGAACCCCATGCCTCCTTCCCCAGCCTCAAATCTCATGTCCTCTTCCCACCATTTCAACTGTAGGCCACAGAATGGTAGAAAAGTATGGGAGCCAACCACCATCTGCTAAATGTGCTACAGGCCTAATGCTTCCCATGTATTATCTCATTTAATCCTCAGCACCTCTGTAAGGAAAATGCTAACTTCCTTTTGAAGTTAAAGAAACAGAGACTTAGAGATGCGAAGTACTTGAATGGTGACCAGTGGAACTGAGGCTGGAATCCAGTTTTAATCTAAGGAGTCTTTTTGTTTTGTTTTGAGACAGAGTGTCACTCTGTGGCCCAGGCAGGAGTGCAGTGGTGCAATCTCAGCTCACTGCAACCTCCACCTCCTGGGCTCAAGCAATTCTCGTGCCTCAGCCTCCTGAGTAGGTGGGATTACAGGCATGCGCCACCACCATGCCCCACTAATTTTTCTTTCTTTTTTTGTTTTTTGTTTTTGTAATTTTAGTAGAGATGAGGTTTTACCATGTTGGCCAGGCTGATCTCAAACTCCAAACCTCAAGTGATTCTCCTGCCTCAGCCTCCCAAAGTGTTGGCACTATAGGCGTAAGCCACCGCATCTGGCATAAGAAGACTGTTATACCACTCTGTCTCTTCCCCTGTGATTGGGGGGGCTCCATGTCTCTAGCTGGAATGATGATGTCCAGACCTGGGAGGAGCCCAGGGCTACCCACCTCTAAAATCAGAGGGCAGGAAGCAAGAAACAGCCACAGGACTGCCCTGGAGGGTGCTGGGGTCACCTGCCCCCGGGCTGGAGCTACCGCTGGCCTGGCACCTCCCCTCCCCAGAGGCTGGTGCCCACCCACCTCCCAGACCTTCTTGGATGGGGTGGAGGTTACCGTCTCCTTCACCTTGCCTAGCTTCTCCTGCAGCTCCTTTACTTGCTGCTCCAACTGTAGTACGCTCTTGTTCTCATTGTTCTGGACAGAGAGAAGCAATCAGCAGCCACCCACTGCAGCTGGAGACCCCAGAACTTGGTGACTGCCTCCCATGGCACCGGGAAGGGTGGAGGCAGGTTAGAAAAATCATCCCCTGTCTCCCACAGCCACCAGAGCAGGGCTCTGGCTCACAGGTGCCTTTAGGAGTAACATTTCACTTGAGGGCTACACTGCCCCATTTTATAGGTGGGGAAACAAAGGCCTGGAGGGCTAGGGAGGAGGGCAAGCTCCCCAGCTGGGGCAACGCACCAGCTCCTTGAAGCTGTTCTGTGGCTCGGCCAGCTGCTGAAGCCTCTCCTCCTGCTCTGGAAGCCTCTCCTGCTGCTCCTGAAGCCTCTCCTCCTGCTCCCGAAGCCTCTCCTTTTGCCCCTCATTCAGGAGACTTATGCGCTGATTGTACTCCACCTGGGCCTGGAGCTCTCCTGCCACTCTCTCTAGTTCCTTCCTCAGGTGCTGCAGCTCCACCTCAGAGGGCACTGCTGGGGGCTCCGGGGGCAGAGGTTCAGCTGAGAAAGGAAGCAGACAATAAGAGCCTCTGGATTCCAAAAAAAAAAAAAGAAAAGAAAAGAAAAGAAAAAACCCTCCTCTTGGCGCACAGCTCCTCTCCGGCTCCTCAAACTTAGCCTCACTGCTAATGATTCCTCGCACCCAGATGGTAGCCAGTCTTCCAAAGCACTTTCAGAGAAAGAGCACTGCGGGTGGCTGACAACGGGCCCTCTTTGCTGATGGGGACACTGAGGCTCATTGAGATGACAAGACTTGCCGTCTCCTGGCACAGACCTCTTTCCCTCTGCCTCAAAGCCCTTCCATCCACCCACCTCGCTGGGGCACTCCAAGCCACCCTCACAGCCCTCTGATGCCAGTCCTGCTGCCAGGTCACGCCAGCCCCATCTTACCCATCTGGTGTTTGAGTTTGGACAAGCTCCTCTCCAGCTTCTCTACCCGATATTTATCATGCTTCTTCTCCTTCTTCAACGAGCAAACCTGCCCAAAGCACAGGGGGAAAGGGCCCTGGAGAGAGGGGCTGGAGGCTGGACATGCTACCATCTCCCTCTCTGCCCCCACCTCCACAAAGCCCAGTCCCAGGACCACCTCTGGCTCTACTATTCCCATTTTACAGGTGCCCAGAAAGATCCAGTGACCTATCTAATGTGGGGGGGCTGAAGGGTCAGATCTCACCTCCTGCGACATTTTTCTCATCCTCTGCTGCCACCGGGCCCTCTCTCCTTTTAGATGTTCAGCATATTCATCCCTCTCTAGCTGGACTTCTTTAAGTGACTCCTTCAACTGCAAGAATGGGCACAGAAATTAGGAAGGGCTGTCACTGGTCCTCACCTGCTCCTGGTTACCTGGGGTCATCTTCCTTCCACATCCCTCCCTCTGAACACCTCACCTGTGTCAGCTGCGCTTTCAGCAGTGCCTGCTCCCGCATGGACTGCTCTAACTTCCACTCCATACGTGCTTTACTGCGGCTGGAGAACTGCTGAAGAGTGAGAAGTTTCAATCTGGTGAGGCCGGGCCATTCCACACAGTGCCCCTTAAAAGGGCCAGGGCTAGGCCCAATATACAACTCGGTCAGTAAAGATCAAGGCATTTCCAAGCCCGTGGTTTGGTTTTTAAAGAACTCAGTAAAGTTGGAAGGGACAGGGAAAGAGATCGAATTTATAGCTGGCTAACAGAGGCCCAGAGAGATCAGATAATATTGCTATTGTTATTACTGTTATTATTACCACTGTTTGAACTTTTATGGAGTGCTTCACCAGATACCATGCTAGCAATCCCATTTAATCCTCGCAACTACCATGGGAGACAGTTACTATGATGACCTCTATTGTGTAGATGAAAAAACATGGAGTATTTGAGGTTAAGTGCTTGCCTAAGATCACTTAGGCAGAGCTGGGATTTAAACACCCAGATCTATCCAATTCTCTAAGCCCATTTTTCTTGCTGGGGGTGGGGGCACAGCTAGGAAGGGGAAAATTAATCTTTTGTTCACTTTTTGAAAGGATAATACATTCACATAGTCCCAAACTCAGAAGGTACAGAAGGGAAGTATCTCCCAGCCACCCTGTTGCTCTCTCCTGAGTTTTTATGAACACTTGCAAACATATTTTATGTATATTATCATAATATGTACACACACACACACACGTTTCCTCTCTCTACAGAAATGGTAACATACTAAAGGTACTCTTCTGTACCTTCACAGTACAAGTACCCAATACCCACTGAGGACTTGGCCAAGACCACAGCCAGGTAAAGGCATGGCAGGCACTTGGCCTCCAAGCTCTACGTCCTGTGCTCTCTCCCCAGAGTGCCCCCCAACTCACCCACAGCAGCTGACTCAGTCCCAAGCTGCCGCTAACAACCATACAAAAAAGCAGTGAGAAATGGCCATGCTGCCTTCTGGGCAGGACACTCCATCCTGCAGAAGGGACCTTTAGGCTCACTCCTCTGTCTGCGAAGCCAGGCTCCCAGGGGACGGGGCAGGTGGTTGGACTCACCCTCTCCGCCTTCTTCTTCTGTGTGGCGGTGACAGCAGAGAGAGCCCGCTCTAACTCTCCTTTACGCTGCAATGAATGTTGCAGACGGACGGCCAGATCCTTGGACTCTTCTGTAATGAGAGAGTTGAGATGGGGCCCAAAGGACTCCCCCTGAAGACCTGTCAAAGTGCCAGGTTGAAGGATGACAGGGTACCCAGATTCCCACCTTCAAAGTATCTGAGAGAACGTTTCGTGTGGTACAGGTCCGTATTTAGTTTCCCTTTCTGTATGTTCAATCTCTGGATTTGAACCTTTGGGAGAAAAGCCAAGCAAGTGCTGAAAGAGAAGGAAAGAAACATTCTCCGGAGGACAGGAGAAAACTGCACACCGTCCACTCACCTCTAGCTCCCTTTCGGCTTTCTGTTTCTCGTTGTTTGCTTTCTTTTCCTGTAGGAAGAGGAAGACAGAGATCTAACCAGGCAGAGGCAGAGATGGTACTGCAAGAGACATGTCCCCAGAATGCCACCACTGCCCCTGCCCCGGGACAGGCCCACCCATGGGACCGGGTTATCAGGGACCCTGTGGGGGATGGGGTGGACTCTGGGGGGTGAGCCTTCTTCCCCAGGCTGGGAGTGGGTGAGACGAGACTCGGGGCCTCTACATCTGAGTGTCCCCCAAACCGAGCAGTCATGTCGCGAGCAAACAAAGAAATCATGTTACTTCTTCCAGCTGATGTTCCACTTGTTTATTCTGTTGTTTCTGTGGGGAGAGTCACATTAAGGTGATGGAGGGTGGCCCCCTCAACTCTATTCCCCAGAGCAGGAAGTGGTAGGCAGGGGCCAGGAATGGATTTTAAAGGCAAAGTTCTCAGACCCAGTGGGAACTCGAACTGGTAAACTCTCCTCAAGCTCCCAAGGACAGAGGATTTGGGTCTTTGTTGGCTTTTGTCCACAGCCACAGAACTCAAGGTCTGAATCTGGAATCTCTTGACAGGACAGTAACATAAACCTCTAGAGATGGAGTTTGAGAAAGGCCCCCCCTTCTGCCAGCTTGTGATTTAGAAAAGTGCATTCATTCAATAAACATTTACTGAGCACGTACGGGCCAAGTACGGTTCTTCACAGAAGATTTAGGGCGGAAAAGGACAGACAGGAGCCTTTGGCCCTGAGGTTTCCATTCTAGGAGGCCTTTAAATCTCAGACTCGAGAGCTAACAGAGACCTTTGATACTCACTACTTCCTCTGGAAACATGAGCCCAAAAAGGAGAGGTGGCTTGTCCAGAATCAAAGAGCAAATTAGGGACTGAGTCATGGCAGAAATACGGGGCCCCTGACAACCAGTCAGGCTAGCACTTCCCCAAGAGGCAACAATCCCAGGGCGTGTGTAGCAAGGACTCGAGCAGGGGCGTCTGGAGAGGGGAGAGTCAGCAAACAGGGCAGCAAAAAAAGAGCCATGCTGCATGCTCCGGGGTCCCTCCAGGTGAGGCCTGGGCGCCCCAGCTCCCTATTCGCCCTTGGCACCAGGGGCCGCCGTCCCCTTTCTTCAGGGCCCCAAGGGGAAACTAGAGCCCAGGATTGGCAGCGTGGAATCAGGGGACCCCAGTGGACTCTTACCAAAGATTTGATGGTGTTCTTCAGTTGACTGACTTTTACGGACCTCGAGTCTGGGACTACTGCTAGTTCTTGGCACGGGCTCTGAGGCGCATGCAGAGAGGAGGAGGTGGAGGAGGAGTGGGGGGAGAGGTAGAGAGAGCAATCATTAGGGCTGGGGTGTGTGGGCTGTCTCAGCTGGCAGAGGGGCACCCCATCCCACCTGGAGGAGGAGGTTGGAGGGCTGGCCTGCAGGGTCACTGCACCTCTGCCCAGAGCCTCTTACCTCCAGATCCTTCAGGGTAGCAGATGATGTAGGGCTCTCCCCGTGGATACCTGTTGCTGACTACAAGAGATGAGAGTGCACATGAAGATGTTCTGTCCCACTCAGTATCTAAGCCCTCTGACTTCTTTTCTTCCCCATCAACTGGCACAATTTTCTTTTCTGCCTATCTTGGACCCTTTGTCCCATAACTCCTTTGTGCCAACTTCTCTCATGGTTCTTATCTCCCCACCACAGCACCCTGTGGCCCTTTCAGTGACTCCTGTGCCAAGTGACTGTTCTCATTGTCCTGGCTTCCCCTTGAGACTGGGGATGAGGAAAATCGAACAGCAATGACCATATCCTGGGTGTTCTGGGTGTTTACAGCAGGCCATGTACTAGGGATTAACATAAAAACAACAATAACAAATCTCATTTAAACTTCACAAATGGAAGTGAAACAATACCACCTCTATTATACAGATGTGAAAAGAGAGGCCCGATGAGGTCTAGCAACTTGCCCTAATTCATATCCCTAGCAGACAAAGAGGCAGGATTCAAACCCAGAATTCTTCACAGGTACCCAACAGTCCATCCACAATCTTAACAATTACCCTCTAGTGCCCCTTGGGTCCCCTGTCCCCAGGAACCTAGTCAGCCAAGACTCACATCTCCAGGTGAGTGGCAACCACCAGAAGTGGCTGTCTCATGGATGCTGCCATTTGTTTTCCTGTTCCTCTTGGCTCCTGCTGGAACACCAGGGCTGTTTCTCTGCCAATATTCTTTTAACTGTCAGAAATAAGAGCAGTAATACTCATGAGAACTATCAGCCCCTGCAGCCACATCCTCCTTTACAGTTTTTATAAAATACTCTTATACACCATCTGATTTAATGATACCAACAACTGTACAAGGTGTTGTCACAATCATTTAGTGACTCAAAGAGATTGATATCATGGCTAGAAAAAAAAAGAAGAAAAGAAAAAGGCGACAGACGAACTTTGAAACTCAGTCTTCTGACTCCAAACTCTGGGGTTTTACCAAGAATCATCAGCTGCCAGGGACCAAAACCAGAGGCAGAGGTAGAAAAGTAAACATTAAGTAGGCAGGAACTGTATGCCATGTGGTTTAGTCATACATCCTCACACGTCTGTTAGTGTGAAGAAGTGCACCAGTACCTCTCAAACTCTTATATCAATGTGTCCTCATGGCAGAAGGCAGCCTTTCTGTTAAATCTGGGAATTTATCAGAAAGAGGACAACCCAAGCCTCATTTCAGAGAGAAGTCTGGTATACTGTTAGAAACCTATGTGACTGTCATCCCTAAGTACATTAATGTTTTTTCTCTTGATCTCAAGAGAATCAATGGAAACTGATGCTTCAGAAAGATGTCCCATATGTATCCTGTGGCACTCAAAGTACCCCAGGTTTACATAATATGAGGAAGATTCAAGCTGTCAAGTTCAGTTTCCCAAGATCTATTCCACAGAAGATGAGCAAATCTCACTTCACAGACCACTGGCTGAAGGGCAGTCTGGTCCCAGAACCATGGAGAATTAGAATGTGAGGTGGAGAACTCACAAAAAATTTGTTAAAATCTCTCTGGAAAGTAGAAGCCTGGGAGAAAACCAAACCAAGTCAAACCCATTCTCCAGTTGCCATCCAGAGGTACTGTCAATGTTTTGAGCTCACAGGGGAAGTGTAGGCTTTTCCCGCTGTCAATGTTTATGCTAAGGGAGTGAGGCAGCCTGAAACCTCTTGCTCCTAGGTCCCAATCTCCATTCCCCTTCCAGCTGGAAATTTGTGCTGTGACAAGAGGAACCAGAAATGGGGTGGCAATGCTTAGGGGACTGGGTCATAAGATCAAAGGCCAGTCTTGCAGTAATGACAGTTACTGGATGGACCGTGACATCACTACATTCCACTCTTCCTGGTGAGGGGGAGGGACCACATCAGCATGATGTCCGAGTCACCGCTCCATGATAGGGGAGGGAAAAACAGAGCTGGGACCCAGGTCCTTGGAGACACCAGTGCACACAGCCTAGGGAGGTCCACCTTGAGGCAGCAGGAGGGAAGGGAAGAGTCAGCAGCAGGGAGCCCCAGGATTCACCAGCCTAAAGTCACCCAGGGATGACTGGTGAGGGTGGGGTCTGGGGCTGTGGGACCCAGGTCCTTGGAGATGTGAGCCCAAAAAGCCCTGGGAGGTCAAGCTTGGGGTGGCAGGAGATGAGGGCCCAGTAAAGGAGCGGGGAGCCCCAGGATTCACCTGCCCAAAGTCACCCTGGGGTGATTGGTGAGGGCAGAGACTGGGCTGCTTGCTGAAGGGGTGGGGCTGACTGACAAAACTTTGGTGGGGGTAGCCCAGAGGCACCGGTGTGGGGGTCCCAGTCCGGTGAACCTCGGGAGTGGTATGGACTCTGGCAGCAGTCTTGTCGTTGGAGAGGATCTATGGCTGGGTTGGGGGTCCGTGACCTGGTGTGTTTTTACCTTTCTCTTGGCTGCTGCCAATTTACTTTGTCGAGTTTCTTCTGCCATCGCAGGGTGGGGAGGGAGGCGGGCTTGGGGCCACATCAGCAAAATCCCACCAAGCACTGATCAACACCTCCAGTCACCTACCAGGTAGCTGTGCGACTGAGCCAGAGGAGGCGTAACCAGGGATGCAGTAGAAGGCAGAATAGGGGCGTGGCCTTAATGCTCCAAGCCCATTGGTTAATGAGAAAGATGAAAGGGAAAGGGGGCGTGGCCAGGCATCATGTGTCCAGAGGGACCTTTGGCTCACAAGGAAAGCTGCCCAGGCAACCACTGTCCCCACCCACCCTAAGAGAGGGGAGAGGCCGCCAACTCTGGGAGAGGGGCAGGGCCGGCTTTTGCTTTAAAAGCTTTTAAAAATATATATATGTGTATACTTTATATATATGTGTGTCTGTGTGTGTGTACCTGTGTGTTCCTCCAGAGCTGTCTTCATGATCCAGCTTCTATGCAAGGTCTATGATTTTGGCCTATATTTTTCATAGAGTACAAAAATTACCAGTATTACCTTAACCGAGATACAGATCCTATGAACATGGAAAATCCATAGCATGCTTGATGATTACTGAAGCAGACTATATTATCCAACATTCCAATAAGATAAAATAATCACAATGACTTCTCTTTTTTGGAAAAATGTTTCTCTTATTCTCCTACGTTATTGTGAAGACTTTTTTTCTTAAACAAGAAACATGTGTAATATTTGTAAAAACACAAAGCTTTTGGGCCGGGTGCAGTGGCTTATGCGTATAATTCCAGCACTTTAGGAGCCTGAGGCTGGCGGATCATGAGGTCAGGAGATTGAGACCATCCTGACTAAAAAGGTGAAACCACATCTCTACTAAAAATACAAAAAATTAGCCAGGCGTGGTGGTGGGTGCCTGTAGTCCCAGCTACTTGGGAAGCTGAGGCAGGAGAATGGCGTGAACCCAGGAGGTGGAGCTTGCAGTGAGCTCAGATCGTGCCACTGCACTCGAGCCTGGGCTACAGAGCGAGACTCCTTCTCAAAATAAATAAATAAATAAATAAAACTTCTATTTCTTTCACTTTCTAATATAATTTTAATATCTCCTCCTGGGATTTCACTAAGACACATTTTGGACCTCATTCTGATCTTCCTCTCCCCTCCAAGCCCACCAACTTCTGCCCTATCATCCATCCTCATGTCTCTCTGTGTGACATGCTGACTTACTTTTTGGAGAGAATCGCCTAAACAATTAATTCTTTCTTCTCGTGTCTAATCCATCCACTAGTTTCTTATTTCAACAATTACATTTTTATTTCCTTATTTCATTTTATTCTGAGACTGAGTCTCATTCTGTCACACAGGCTGAATTGCAGTGGTACGAACCTGCAGACTCGGCCTCCTGGGCTCAAGTGATCCTCCCACCTCAGCCTCTTGAGTAGCTGGGACTATAGGCAGGTGCCCCATACCCAGCTAATACCATACCCACACAGCAGAGACATAAAAGATTTCCATCCTCAAAGAAGGTTCCATTGAACAGCACTGCTCTAATTCAATAAAAAATACCACTGAGCACAACATAGTAATAGAAAAGATTGAAGAGGCAGTGCTGATACTTAAAAACCTGGTATTTTCAGCCAGGCATGGTGGCTCATGCCTGTAATCCTGGCACTTTGGGAGGCTGAGGTGGGAAGATCGCTTAAGCCCAGGAGTTCTAGACCAGCTTGGGCAACATGGTGAAACCCTGTCTCTACAAAAAATACAAAAAATTAGCTGGGCATGGTGGCATGTGCCTGTAGTCCCAGCTACTTGGGAGGCCGAGGTGGGAGATCACCCGAGCCTGGGAGGTCAAGGCTGCAATGAGGTGAGATGGCACCACCACACTCCAGCCTGGGTGACAGAGTGAGACCCTGTCTCAAAAACAAAAAACAAAAAACAAAACAAAAACACCTGATATTTATTTTTAAGTACACTATTTTCAAACATTCAGAAGTTATTTCATCCTACCTTCATGGTTTCCATTCTATGCCTGGTTTAGAATTGGGATCTGATAAAATAAACGTGTTCAACAGAACCACTTCTCATGGCTGTATAACAGATGATCAATATGTATTTGCTGAGGAAATTATACAATTTTCTTAATTTTTTTTAACAAAAATTGTGGTTTCAAGGGACCAAACTTGAATACTACACCTTCATGTTCTAAGAATCAGGGGACTTATATAAAACCTCAGTTGCCTGATAAGGACTACATCAAAGTGAAAAGCCATGGGAAAGAACTAGAAAGTATACTTTTGACCCTAGTTCTGTAAAGTTTCCTTATGCCACAGGTAATACACATCGCAATTCCTGCCAAATTCTTTCCCTCACCTCTGTTTATGGTCTCGATTCCATAAATAGGAGAAGGGCATGAATTTGCTTTAGTTAGATAGACAGATGGATAGATAGATAGATGGATGGATGGATGGATGGATAGATAGATAGACAGAGATAAAGATAGAGACAAAGATGGAGACAGAGATGGACATAGAGACAGATTTGCAGAAGATAAGTTCTAGGTGAACTAGTGTCAACATTAAAGTGGTATGCCTACATCTAACTATTCTGGAGAGAAAAACATACCTCAAAGAAATTGACTTAAATATATACAGAGAAAAAGTTTAAGCTGAAAGCTACTGCCTTTTTATATGAGACACTTTAGGAAATTACTTGGGGGGCAAGAGAGAAAATGGGTGGACATAGCTCAGAGGTTACACAGTAGCAGATATGTAGGATGAACAAGCCTAGAAATATAATGTACAACGCGAGAAATATAGGTAATAAAATTGTGCTGTATTTGGGATTCACGCTAAATGAGATTTTAAGCTCCTCTTGCCACCAAACAAAAAGAAAACGGGTAACTATCTGAGTTGAAGGATACGTTAATTTGCTTCACTGTAGTAATTTTTTTTAACCATCTATATGCATCCCATAAAATCATGTTGTATACCTTAAATACACAGAATACAATTTATTTAACATAAAAAACTACTCCAATATTTTCTGCATTTTTAATATGCTCACCCAAAGAAAGCATTAATTTGCATCTTTGATGTTAAACAGATAGCCTAATCAAGTCACTATCAAGATCAAGACTAAAAGTTACAGCTTTTTTCTTTTGATGCCTTTCAGATATATCTATTTATATATAAAAATATATATACACACACACATACATACACACACACATATATATGTAGTTATGTGTGTGTGTATATATAGTTACAGTTTTGGCCAGGTGCAATGGCTGACACCTGTAATCTCAGCCCTTTGGGAGACCAAGGCTGAAGACTTGCTTGAGGCCAGGAGTTTGAGACCAGCCTGGGCAACGAAGCAAGACCCTATCTCTACAATTTTTTTTTTAACAAAATTAGCCAGGGATGATGGCATGCACTTGTAGTCCCAGATACTTGGGAGGCTGAGGCGGAGGATCCCTTGAGCCCAGGAGTTCAAAGCTGCAATGGGCTGTTACTGTGCCACTGGATCCCAGTCTGAGCAACAGAGCAAGACTTTGTCTCAAAAACAAAATTTATAATTAAAGATAAATAGTTATAGTTTTATGAACCTTGACTGCAACTGAGGGAAAATCCCGTAATTGGCAAAATGAATTCTGCCTGCTTGCAAAACTTCTGACTAATACGGAATGAATAATAGGAAGCCCATATTAGAGGATCCACATCAGTTAAAAAGTTTCCAAATAAGAGTGACTCTGAGTTCTGCAGAGTGAAAAGATTGGGTTCAAACCAAACACTTGCAAGATCTTGAGTAAGATACTTAATCCCTCTGTGACTCACTGTTCTCAAATGTAAGTGAAGATAATTTGTAACTCAAAAAAAATGAAAAAGTTTTCTCTAAGATTGCAAATCCTAAGGATAATTTCATTTTAATATCAGTTATTTAGTCTGGATACACCATAATGCAGACTAATTTTCCCTCTGCTTAAAGACCACACAAAAACATTACCAATAAAATTTACTTGTGTATCAACTTTTACTCCTGAGACTTCATCGTTTGTTTGGTTAAAAAAAAAAAAAAAAAAAAAAAGCGCACTAGACCGGGCACAGTGGCCCATGTCTGTGATCTCACTTACGGAGGCCAAGGCAGGTGGATGAGTTTGAGAACAACCTGGGCAACATGGAAAAACCCCATCTCTACAAAAAAAAAATATAAAAATTAGTCAGGTGTGGTGGCACATAACTGTGGTCCCAGCTACTCCAGAGAGTGAGGCGGGAGGATTGCTTGAGCCCACGCAGAGGTTGCAGTGAATCAAGATGGCACCACTGCACTCCAGCCTGGGTGACAGAGCAAGACCCTGTCTCAAAAAAAAAAAAAAAAACACTATAAAATTGAAATTCACAACAAAATGTGCATACTTAACCTTCTTTTTATTTATTTATTTATTTATTTATTTATTTATTTTTAATATTTTGAGACAACATCTTGCTATGTTGCCTAGGCTGGTCTTGAACTCCTGGGTTCAAACCATCCTCCAGTCTTGACTTCCCAAAGTACTGGGACTACAGGTGTGAGCCACCAGCCCCGCCAGCCCTGTTACACTATTCTTGGCCCCTCAAGTGACTGTATGAATTTTAGGATGAGCCTCTCGAGTTCCACAAAAAAATTCTATTGGGATTTGTGTAGGAATTTCTTGAATTTATAGATTAATTTGTTGAGAAGTAGTATGTTTATAGCATTGAGTCCTACGATTCATAATATATATGGCATGTATTTCAGTTTAGTCAGTTCTTCCTTTAAGTCCCTGGGTAATTTTTATATTTGTCTTAGTCCCTTCATAGTGCTATAACAAAACACCTGAGACTGGGTAATTTACACAGAGCAGAAGTTTATTTTCTCAGTTCTGGAGGTTGGGAAGAACAAGATCAAGACTCCAGCAGACACAGTGTCTAGTGAGGGCCTGGTCTCTGCTTCCAAGATGGTACGTTGAATGCTGCTTCCTCTGGAGCAGGCAAATGCTATGTTCTCATGAGGCAGAAGGGACAGATTTACCACCACCCACAAGCCCTTTTATAAGGAAGGCACTAATCTCATGCATGAGGGCTCACCCTTATGTCTTAATCACTTCTTAAAGGCCCCACTTCTTAGTACTATCATCTTGGGAATTAAGTTTTAATACATGAATTTTGGGAGACACATTCAGGCTATGGCAATACTCTTCATGAAAGGCCTTGTGTATACTTTGCTAGATATATTCTCAGGGTTTTGTTGCTATTGTGAATAGAATCTCTTTTTTTTTTTTTTTTTTTTTGCCACGGAGTCTGGCTCCTTTGCCCAGGCTGGAGTGCAGTGGCACGATCTCGGCTCACTGCAAGCTCCGCCCCTCCAGGTTTAAGCAGCCTGTTGCCCAGGCTGGAATGCAGTAGCATAGTCATAGTTCAATACAGCCTCAAACTCCTGGGCCCAAATGATTCTCTAAGCTAATATTTTTAATTTTTTAGAGATGGAGTTTCATTCAAGGATCACTAAAGGCCAGTGATCCTCCCGCCTCAGCTTCTGAAATTGCTGGGATTACAGGTGTGATTGAGCCATGGAGCCTGGCCAGACATGGGCTATTGATTCTCGCTGTTACTCTTTTCCCTTTCCTTCTAATCCTTGTATTGGGAAGAAAACAGTATGGAAATTTTATTTCTTCATTTTATTGATACGTAGATCTCTGCTTAGAAGACAATTTTAGTTTTAAATTATAAATGTTTTGTTCATTATTCATAGAAAACTAGATTTGCCATGGGATGTTTATAAGTGTTGCACGAATGAAGGGTTTTCTAGTCAAATAAGTTGAAACACATTACGTTAAACAAACTTGGACAGTTTTGTTTCTGGTCAGTTTTAGAGTTCTAAATTATGATTCTACTCAAGAGGATATTGTATGCGGTATTTTCAAACCAACTCATCCTGCGTCAGGTTGTGGTTACGCTTTGGGAGAGGAAGCTATAATCTTATACTGAGACTGTAATGAATGTATTAAAGTAATTTTCGTAGCTTTCTCTTTTTGGAGTTACCTGAGAAATTATGACACCCTTTTCCAAACAGGCCAAGCTGCTTTGCAAACACGATTTCCATAATTTTAACAATGGTGAGGCCAGGCACGGTGGCTCATACCTGTAATTCCTTCCAGCACTTTGGGAAGCCTAGGCAGGAGGATCACTTAAGCCAGGAGTTCAATACCAGCCTGGGCAACATGGCAAAAACTCATCTCTACAAAAAATACAAATATTAGCCAGGCGTGGTGGCACACACCTATAGTCTCAGCTACTCAGAGGTTGAGGTGGGAAAATTGCTTCAGCTCAGGAGCTCGAGGCTGCAGTGAACGGTGATCACGCCACTGCACTCCAGCCTGGGTGACAGAGCAAGACCCTGTCTCAAAAACAAACAAAACAAAACACAAACCAAGGGTGAGAGAGATGTTAGATGTTTTTGTCCTTGTTACAGATGTAAATGCTCAGTTGGAAAGAGGGAAGTATTTAGAGTGAAAAACTTTCGGTGGAACACACACAAAAATAGGAAGATCAGGTATAACTGTTCCAAAAAAAAGAGTATGGCAGTATAGAAGAAAAGGTCTCCATGAAAATGCAGAAGAACAATTTCACAGCTGGTGCTGGCATTTCAGAGACCTTGAGCTGGGAATCAAAAGATGGGAATTTCAGTCTCGGATGTGCCACTCCTTAGAGGTTTAATATCTACTAAACCCGGCGGGCTCCACTTGGTGGTGTTTGCTATTTAAAAAAACAAAAACATGTGGCAATGATCTTCCACGTGATTCTGACTTGAGCCCCACCCGAGTCTGCAGACTTACCCTTCCACTGCTTTGCCCTTCAAGTTTGTGCCCATTAGCAAAGAGAAATTTTCTCTTTGGGATCACTGCTGTGTTGATCTCAGGAATAGTTGGCGTTGAATTTAACATATTTTTCATATGTGTGTGCAATAGGGAGGCTGAGAAACTTGTCTTTTTTTTAAGGTGTTCATTTTTGGGGTACAGGTAGCAGCCTGCTCTACAATCCACACAGAAGCTGGAAATAGCCTCTAGAGAATTTCCACTTTTAGAGAAGATAAATTTATACATTTGTATCTAATCAACATTTTTTAGCTAACATAGTAGTCTAATTATACTATGTATAATTATACTATGTATAATTATGGGTACTGAAATGACACCTGGCATATGCTGTATGCTGTGTTATATATACATATATATTTACACATATACATATATATTACACATATACATATATATTTACACACATATATTTACACATATACATATATTTACATATTTTGCATTTACATTTTACATTTATTTTACATTTTACATTTATTTTACATTTTACATTTACATTTGACATTCTACATTTATTTTACATTTACATATTTTACATTTACAAATATTTACATATTTTACATTTATATATATACATATATTTACGTACATATTTTTACATACATATTTACATGTGTATATATTTACATACATTCACATACATATTTACATATATACTTACATACATACATATTTACATAATATTTACATACACATATTACATACATATATGTACACATATACATATATTTACACATATACATATACTATGTATAATTATACTATGTATAATCATGGGTACTGAAATGACACCTGGCATATGCTGTATTTAAAAATGTGAGGTTCAATGAGAACACATGGACACAGGAAGGGAAACAACACATACTGGGGCCTGTCAGGGCGGGTGGGGGAGGAGCATCAGGAAAAATAGCTAATGCGTGCTGGGCTTAACACTGAGGTGATGAGTTGATAGGTGGACCAAACCACCATGGCACACGTTTCCCTACGTAACACTCCTGCACATGTACCCTAGAACTTAAAACAAAATTTTAAAAATAATAAAAAATAAAAATTTGAAATTCAGCACATAAACTGTTGGTTTTATTATTCATATTTTCTTAATTCAGAAATTATTTTCTGAACTATGGTTTATTCGATAATTTTGACGTAACAATTTTTTAAGAGGAAATTTAAGTTTTACTTTTTAATTGGGGCTCTTGGTTCTTTTTAAGAAAGACAGAGATAAATCATTTATACATTTAATTAGAAGAGACTGGGCTTGAATTTTTAAAAAGTACTAGAAATCGTAGCCACTATATATGTTATCTTTGAAATGTTTTAGACACTAATTACCTAAACAAGGAGCAAATAAGTTAAACCTCTTGGATTTTAATAAGAGCTAAAATGTACAGTTGTATTTTCTGGTTTTTTAAATTGTTACAGTCTAAATTTATTCTTCCTAATGAAGAAATGTATGTGCCGTCAATATCAGGTTCTTTGTGGGTACTCACAGTTCCCTTTGCCTTTTACGCAGTGAATGTGGGCAACATGCGTGGAACAGAAATGATGTCGTTTTCTTTCTTTTGAATATCACTATGAATCTAATAATTCAAAGATTCCTAACTTTCTGAATGCCATTATTAATTGGATTCACAATGACTTACCAGGTACAGAGTTGTCCAGTGTGTCTTGGGGTGAACTACTGAGAGTGGTATGAGGGAAGCGATTCTCAGCTAGCACTGAGTGGGGCCACTTCCAAAGAGGTGATGGGGTAAGAAGCACACACAATGTGGCATTTTCACTGCAAAGGGAGGTTTGTGCTGCCTCTCCTCCTGTGGCAGGTCTGCTCGCAGGGGAGGCTCCAAAGTTTGGCTTTGCTGGGTTTGGCATGTGAGAACTGATGAAATATCTGTATGTAGTATCTTTCAAGGATTTATATCGGTTGGATTTCTGTGTAAATTTGCATATCCCTTTGACTGCTTTACCCTATAGAAGCTTTGTATGCTTAACAAAATCTGTAACTTTTCTGTCACTTTCTCATTTAGCATCTGCCTTTCTGGCTTTTTACTTTATCTTTTTATTATTGTTTTTAGTTTAATGAGATTATGGTTAGAGAGAAAGATGGATGCATGATTCCGCTTCTTTGGAATTTGTTGAGATTTTCCTTATGGCTCAGTACATATGTACTTGGGGGGGGTGAATGCTGTCACTTTGGAGAGATATGTTTTTTCTCTACATTAGGTCAAGCTTGTTAATTTTCTAGAGAGATGTAAATCTTCTATGTCTATGCTGATTGTTTTTTGTCTCTTTTATCAGATACTGAGATATGTATTTAAATTGCCCTCTGAGGGTTGCAATTTTGTCATATTTTGCTTTCATGTATTTTGAGTGCTAGTTATTAGATACATTAACATTTTAGATTACCTTCTCCCTTGGTTTATTAGAATTTTTATCATCATATTGTGACCTTAAAAAATCTCCCATATTGCTTTTTGCCCAAAGCCTATTTTATCTGATAATAATATAGCTTCCAACCCTTCTTTGGGTTGGGTACATATGACATGTGTATCTTTTTTCAATCTCTCTCAGTCTTTCTGTGACTTTATGTTTTAGATGTCTTTTCATACTGTTTATTTTCTGTTTTTTGTGTTTTTTTTGTGTGTTTTTTTTTTTGATACGGAGTCTTGCTCTGTTGCCCAGGCTGGAGTGTAATGGTGTGATCTCGGCACTGCAACCTCTGCCTCCTGGATTCAAGCGATTCTCCTGCCTCAGCCTCCTGAGTAACTGGGATTACAGATGTTCACCACCACGCCGGCTAATTTTTGTATTAGCAGAGATGGGGTTTCACCATGTTGGTCAGGCTGCTCTCGAACTCCTGACCTTGTGATCCCTCCGCCTGCCTCATCCTCCCAAAGTGCTGGGATTACAGGCATGAGCCACCACGCGTGCCCTAATTCTGTTTTATAGTCATTTTCTCTTAATTATTCAGTCTATTTACATTTATTGTGATTGTTGGCATAGTTTCTTTTATAACTTTCATCGTATTTTGTGCTATTTGTTCCATCTGTTTTTATTTCTTCATGTCTTTTTTGTCTCGTTTTTGCTAATTCCTTTTATATTCATGGTTATTCTGCTCTTGAAATGTATGCTATGTGAATATATTTGTGAGTTGACAATACTTTATTAGCAATTAAATATACTATTTCTCTTTTTTTTTAGAACTTGCTCAAATGTTACATAACCTCAATATCCTTAGTATCTAAATTAAACTGACTTTCTGAACAATCATCATTTTAAGGCAGTTACCACGATCTACTAAAAAATAAAAAAAAATTAGCCGGGTGTGGTGGTGGGCGCCTGTAATCCCAGCTACTCAGGAGGCTGAGGCAGGAGAATCCCTTGACCCTGGGAGGCAGAGGCTGCAGTGAGCCGAGATAGCGCCACTGCACTCCAGCCTGGGCGACAGAGAGACTCCGTCTCAAAAAAAAAAAAAATAATAATAATAATAAAGGAATTTAAAAAAAGACTGGGTTTAACCATGTTGCCCAGGCCGGTCTGGAACTCCTAGGCTCAAGCAATCCCCCACGCTTGGCCAGTCCAAAGTCCTGGAATCAAAAGCGTGAGCCACCACGCCAGGCCGATCACGCCTGTCATCCCAGCACTTGGGGAGGCGGAGGTGGGTGGATCACCGGAGGTCAGGAATTTGAGACCAGCCTGGCCAACATGATGAAAACCCGTCTCTACTAAAAATACAAAAAAAAAAAATTAGCCGGGTGTGGCGGCAGGTGCCTGTAATCCCAGCTACTCAGGAGGCTGAGGCAGGAGAACCACCAAAACCCGGGATGCAGAATTCGCCGCGAGCGGAGACCCAGCCACTGCACTCCAGCCTGGGCAACAAGAGGGAAACTCCGCCTCAAAAAAAAAAAAAAATAATAATAATAAGAGACAGATTTTCACCATGTTGCCCAGGCAGGTCTGGAACTCTTAGGCTCAAGCAATTCCCCACGCTCGGTTGTCCAAAGTCCTGGGATCAAAAGCGTGAGCCACCACGCCAGGCCGATCTATTTCTTTCTGATTAATAAATTGGGCCAGGAGGGTGGCTCACGCCTGCAGTCCCAGCACCCCGGGAGGCCGTGGCGGGCGGATCACCTGAGGTCGGGAGTTTGAGACCAGCCTGACCAACATGGAGAGACCTGTCTCTACCAGAAAAAAAAAAAAAAAAAGAGCCGGGCATGGTGGCTCCCGCCTGCAATCCCAGTCACTCGGAGGCTGAGGCAGGAGAACCACCCAAACCCAGAGGCAGAGGCCGCGGGGAGCCGACACCGCACCACTGCACTCCAGCCCTGCAACAAGAGGGAAACTATGCCTCAAAAAAAAAAAAAAGAGAGAGAGAGAGAGAGACCGGTTTTCACCATGTTGCCCAGGCTGGTCTAGAACTCCTAGGATCAAGGGATCCGCCACGCTCGGCCCGTCCAAACTCCTGGGATCAAAAGCGTGAGCCACCACGCCAGGCCGATCCTTCCTGTCATCCCAGCACTTTGGGAGGCCGAGGTGGGTTTACCTGAGGTCCGGAGTTCGAGACCAGCCTGGCCAACATGATGAAAACCCATCTCTACTAAAAATACAAAATAAATAAATAAATAAATAAATAAATAAAAATTAGATGGGTGTGCTAGCGGGCGCCTGTAATCTCAGCTACTCAGGCGGCTGAGGCAGGAGAATCACTTGAACCTGGGAGGCAGAGGTTGCAGTGAGCCGAGACAGCGCACCACTGCACTCCAGCCTGGGTGACAAAGTGAGACTCCGTCTCAAAAGTATATATATATAAAAATAAAAAATGAAATAAAAATAAATTGGGTGTGTGCGCTGGCTCACGCCTGCAATTCCAGCATCCCCAGAGGCCGAGGTGGGCGGATAACCTGAGGTCTGGAGTTTGAGATCAGCTTGCCCAGCATGGAGAAACCCCGTCTCTACCAAAAACAAATAAAAAAAAATTAGCAGAGCAATGTTGGTCAGGCCTGCAATCCCAGCCACTCCGGAGACTGAGGCAGGAGAACTACTAAAACCCTGGAGGCAGAAGTCGCTGCGAGCGGAGACCCAGCCACTGCACTCCACCCTGGGCAACAAGAGCGAAACTCCGCCTCATAAAAAAAAAAAAAGAGAGAGAGACCGGGTTTCACCATGTTGCCCAGGCAGGTCTGGAACTCCTAGGCTCAAGGGATACCCCGCGCTGGGCCATCCAAAGTACTGGGATCACAAGCGTGAGCCACCACACCAGGACGATCTATTCCTTTCTGATTAACAAATTGGGCCGGGAGCGGTGGCTCAAGCCTGCAATCCTAGCACCTCGGGAGGCCTAGGCAGGTGGATCACCTGAGGTCGGGAGTTTGAGACCAGCCTGACCAACAGGGAGAAACCCCATCTGTACCAAAATAAAAATAAAAAAAAAATACAAAATTAGCCGGGCTTGGTGGCTTATGCCTGCAATCCCAGCCACTCTGGAGGCTGATGCAGGACAACGACCGAAACCCGGGAGGCGGAAGTCGCGGCAAGCAGAGACCCAGCCACTGCATTCCAGCCTGGGCAACAAGAGCGAAACTCCGTCTCAAAACAACACAAAACAAAAAGACCAGGTTTCACCATGTTGCCCAGGCCTGTCTGGAACTCCAAGGCACAAGCGATCCACCCTACTTGGCCGTCCAAAGTCCTGGGATCACAAGAGTGAGCCACCACGCCAGGCAGATCAAAGCGTTGAGCTGAATAAAGAGTTATCTTTTAGCATTTTGTGGAGCCCGGGTAGATCTGTGCAGGGGGAAGCATATTACAGAAGCGAGAAACAGAGGGTTATTTAATTGAAGCACGCATTATGTTTTTTTTTTTTTTTATGTTTTTAGGAAAAATATGTTTTGTGACTTGCATTCGTTTGTTTAGTGACCTTGCAGTTGCACAGTTAGGGAATTAGGGTTTTGATAATGCCTGGGAAGGGAGCGATAAGGCTCACTAGCCATAGGAAAACAGGTAGTTTTTTTAAAGGACTAAGGCTCTTTCTCATTCTCAGGGGGAATTGGTTTTTTTTTACATACAGCTGAGTTTTTGCTTACACATTTTTTCATTTCTTTTAATTCCTGTTCCAATGCCAGCATCCTTGCGGTGCGGTTTCCCAGCGGCTCTCTTGCCTTGCAGCTTGTGTCGGGAGTTGCAGACAGCCATGGCCCATGGGCCTGGCGCTGACGGACCCTGGAGCGGTGTCTGAGGGAGGTGGGCAAAGCCACTGGCTGGCCCGAGAGCATCCTCACGTAAGTGCACAGATCCCGGGCTTGGGTGCGACTGCGGTCGCACGTGGACACGGGTTGCAGACCCCTGGCAAATTGTGGAGCTGGGGGAAGGTAAGGGGAAATGTAAATCACTTTTCCCCACATTTCAGAGGACCTAGGCTATCAAAATTTTAAAAATTGTTAAAACTTTTACAGTATGGATCTCTCAGTTGAATGTTATTGAAATCAACCTAACCTCAGTTATTCACGCCTATAAGCTCCCCTTGAGGCTTATTACGGCCCCCATCCCCCTACACACAACTGTGTTGGTTTCTCCTTCCGCCTGTGCTCCTAAAGCACTCAGTGTTTACCTGCCATCATACTTTATTGAAAACACAAACTTGTCACTTGTCTGTCTACCCCACTAAGCTTCTTGAGAATTAGAACTTTCATGTCTCTTCCCAACACAAACGTTTTATGTGTATTTTGTTGAAGAACTTCAAATATGACCTATAAAATTATGACTCATTTATGTTTCAAACTCCAACCTCTCCCTTGAGTTCCTTGCTCACAAGCAACTCCAGACTGAGCTTAGTTGGAATTCAGTAGCGCACAACTGGGATATCCGCACCGTACGGTTTTTAACAATTTTTTAAATTTTGGTCCTCTCAGCATCACAAATTCACTGTGTCCAAAATACAGTAGAATGCTGTTTCTACCCACCTACACTCTGCCATCCGCTGAAGTCCTTTCCCCTTGCTCCACCACTCAAGCCTTGCCTATCGCACTAAATGGCAGTTCTGTCTCTCCAGTTGCTCGCACATAAAACTAGGCTGCTATTTTGATGTCTTCACTTTTCTCTATTCTGTATCTAATTCCTTAGCAATCCTGTCAGTTCTACCTCCAAACTGTACTCAGCATATTCACTGCTCTAACTCCAGCTTAAATCACCATCATCCTTTGCCTGGAATGCTGCATCAACCTTCTAATCACTCTACTTTCCTCCTCCTCCTTCCTCCCTTTCTTCTTCCTTCGTATAAATCATCATTTCATCCTTCTGCTTAAAATCTTCTCATATTTTCTTATTACACTTAAAACGGCAAACTCTTACCCTTGAGCCCTGCAGAATTTGGCTCCCATCAGTCTCTCCAACTTCACCTTCTGCCTCCTTCACGCTATAGCCATGCTCACTTTTTTTATTCCTCAGGCTTACCAAGCTCAATTGCATCTTAGAGAATTTGTTCTTGCTGTTTCTTCCGCCTGGAATACATGTTTCCCAATCTTTATAAGACTATACTTGTCTGTAAGTTTCATCTCAGATGTCACATCTAGGAGAGGTTTTCCTTGACCACTGTAGCCAAAGCAAATGTTGATCATTGAGTGAATAAGGGAATGAATGAATGGAGTGGTATATAATGTAGCAGAGTAGATAATTTAAGGCTAATTCACTATATATCTCCAAGCAAATAGATTTGTAATGCTTTTCCTGCCAACAATCTATACAGCTGATTCACAAATACTTGGTTGACAGGTTTTATATATCATTGTGGCTCATCAGCTTATATATTGTTGGGGCCAGAATCTATACTTACACTTTATTCAAATTTGATTTTACAGAAGAGTTGAGGTTTTTATTTTTCTTTTAATTAAGAGGGCTGTGAAATTATTATCTATAATTCTAAATCTCATTTAATTCCTCCCAATAGGTTTCAAGATGGATTGGAACCAAAGTTCACTTCTTTAACAAAAGTGCTTTATGACTTTAATAAAACAGTAGAGAATGGTAGAATCCATGGCAGCTCTTTACAAAAACTTGTGATAGAAAGTTTTGATGATGAGCAGACTTTGCAACAACTGGAATTGCAAAATGAAGCAATTTTACCGTGCTTCCAGAATGCGGTTAGTGAAAGAAAGATGAAGATATCAGTCTTCTCCCAGAGAGTGAAGAACAGGAGCATGAAGAGGCTGGTTCAGAAACAGAGGCTGATGGCCAGGAGGACCTAGAAGATTTAGAGGAGGAGGAGGACGTGTCAGATATGGGTGGTGACAATCCTGAAATGGGTGAGAGAGCTAAAAACTCAAGCAAATTCAGGGCCAGGCGCGGTGGCTCACGCCTGTAATCCCAGCACTTTGGGAGGCCGAGGCAGGTGGATCACGAGGTCAGGAGATCGAGACCATCCTGGCTAACAAGGTGAAACCCCATCTCTACTAAACATACAAAAAATTAGCCAGGCGTGGTGGCAGGTGCCTGTAGTCCCAGCTACTCGGGAGGCTGAGGCAGGAGAATGCCATGAACCCGGGAGGTGGAGCTTGCAGTGAGCCTAGATCACGCCACTGCAGTCCAGCTGGGCGGCAGAGTGAGAGACTGCATCTCAAAAACAAAAACAACAATTACTTAACTTTAGGATGCTCCAATAATCAAAATTGATAGTGGCTTGTGAACAGATAGATTACTTGAATAGAATAGAGCCCAGAAATAAACCCAAATGCTTCTGGGGGAGTTTGGTACATTATAAACATGAGATTTTAAATCAATGAGGAAAAGAAATCATTTGCAGCTCACCCCACCATACACAGCAGGAATAGGAAGTCATTGGCAGAATAAAAAGATGGTAAGAACAGAACAGAATTGTAGAACAGTACATTTCTTGCTTCCCCACTTTTCAAAGTATTTTTTGCTTTTTCACAAATGTAAGTGTAATTTTATTTTCTAAATGTATACTAATTCTTTTCTTCTCTTTCTTAGATGAATGACAAAAATTACATCTTTAGAAAAAGAGTTGTTAGAAAAAAGCCTTGGCTGCATGTGGGGGAAGTGACAGCACAGAAGAGACCAGAGAAGAGCCTCCTGGAGGAGAGCCTGCACTTTGACCATGCTGTCCGGATGGGTGCAGTGCTCTTTTCTGCAAAGTGTTCACTTCTCTGCTTTTTCTGTGGTCCCATTTCATAGAAAGATTTGGGGTGATGTTTCTTTCCCTCAACTTTTATTTTGAAAACTTGCAAACACAGAAAAGTTGATAAAATCATACAGTGAACATCTGTATGCTATTCAACTGGATTCACTAGTTAATGTTTTGTCACACTTGTTTTCTGTCTTCTGCGTATGGAAGATTGTATATGTGCCCTTTTTCCCTCTGAATCATTTCAAAGTAAGTTGGCAGTATCAGAGCATTTCACTGTTAAGTACTTTCGCAGATATCTTCTAGGAACCAGGACTTCTCCTATGTAATCACAATACCATTAATCCACCCCCAAAATTTAACATCAATACACTAATGATACCTACTGTATAGATTATAATCAGCTTCCTTGCAGCAATCTGTTTAGAAGGCTTGCATCCTGTCACTGTCCACTGATTAAATTTTGAACTCTAACTTGAAACCCTGGTCATCTCATTGCCTTCTTTCTTATACCCATTAAGTCAAAAGGAGCTCTCATTTTATTTCAACAGAAAAGAGAATGGAAAAGAGGGGAAGAGTCCCTAGTACCTTGGATAAAGTATGAGCACTTACTACCATATGTATTCTAGTTCTGTAGTTTTCAAACTTCAGGGAGCATCTCAAGGCTTATTAAAGCACAGATAGCTGTCCTTCCCCACTTTCTGATTCAGGAGGTGTGGGGCTGGCCCAGGAATTTGCATGTCTAACAAGTTCCCACGTGTTTCTGATGCTGAGGGTCTAAGGACTACAATGCATGAATCCGTGGTTTAGTGGATATCCACCTAATGAATACATGTTGTATTTCCTTTGGCACCCGTGATTACAGAGGAAACACCTTTCAACTGGAAGGTATCATTAAACAGAGGATAAGAGATCAGGTCAGTAAGAATTAAATTTCACTTAATTGAAATGTCACTCAAATGTTTAGAAATAATATGACAGGCCAGGCACAGTGGCTCATGCCTGTAATCCCAGCACTTTGGGAGGCCAAGGCAGACGGATCACTTGAGGTCAGGAGTTCGAGACCAGCCTGTCCAAGATGGTAAAACTTCCTCTCTACTAAAAATACAAAAATTAGCTGGGCATGGTGGTGCATGCCTATAGTCCCAGGTACTCGGGAGGCTGAGGCAGGGGAATCGCTTGATCTCGGGATATGGAGGTTGCAGTGAGCTGAGATGCGCCACCGCACTCCAGCCTGGGCAACAGAGTGAGACTCCATCTCAACATAAATAAATAAATAAATAAATAAATAAATAAATAAATAAATAAGATAAAAATAAAAATAAAGGGAAGATGGGGCAGCTTTGTGTATTGCATGTCCTGAAAACGGGCTGATTTCTCTCAAGAGGCAGGGATTTAAGCTCTGTAGCCTATGTGGGATACATACAGGAGAAAAAAGAAGAAAAAGAAAAGAAATGTAAATATAAATAAATGAAAATAACACTTTTCCATGATTATAAAGGAAATCACATTGTTTTTGTAATAATTTGGATGACAAAATGTAAAGAAAAATCTTTAATTTTGCCACTCAAAACATTCCGGTTTGTTGCTTTTCACACTTTTTATGCTGTAAACATTTTAAAAAGTAGAATCACAATACATGGTCTTTTGTCACTTACTATATTTTAAGCATGTTTCTATGGGAGAAATATATCCTGGCATCATCACTTTCAACAGCTGGATGTATGTTAAGTGAATCATTGCCACCCCAGAGGTGGATTTCCTTCTATATATATTTTAATGGACTCGAGTGAGGATTTTTGCACTGAATTCATAGAAGTAGAATTTCTAGAAGAAAATAATATAAAACAGTTTTAGGATTTTTAAAACAAATGTTCAAATCATCCTATAGGAAAATTGGTTGAGTTTACGCTCCCACCAACAGGGACAGAGCTCCAGGTTCCGCCTTCCATTTGTCGTCTTCGCTGGTCTTTAAGCAGAAAATCTCATTGTTTTCATTACCTTTCTTTGATTTCTAGTGCTTTTGAATCTTTTTCATTTGCTCATTGGCCATTTTTATTCTTGTGGGAAGTGCTGGTTTCTCCATTGCCCATTTTCTGCTGCAAATCATTCATTTTTTTTTTCTGAGTAATTTAAAAGATTTCTTTATAGGCTAAGGATACAAACCTTTAATCTGTCATTGAGGTTACAAAGATCTTCTCCCAGTAAGTAATTTGTCATTTCACTTTATTTATTTATTTTTTGCTAGCAAAGCACCAAAGTCAAATTTCACTTAATTTTTATCCTGCTGAATGAACACATTTTAAGTTAGTGATTTTAGTGGAAACAGGAGCAGGACAGAATGTAATAATTAGCTCTCGCTCTGTCACCCCAACTGGAGTGCAGTGGCATGATCATAGCTACTGCAGCCTCAAACTTCTGGGCTCAAGTGATTTTCCCACCTCAGCCTCCCAAGTAGCTCTAGGACTACAGGTGTGTGCCGCCAAGCCCAGCTAATTTTTAAATTTTCTTTGTAGAGATATGAATTCGCTATGCTGCCCAGGCTGGTCTTTAACTCCTGACTTACCCCACCTTAGCTTGCCAATATGCTGGGAGTACGGGCGTGAACTACTGCTCCCGGCCAAGAGCTTACTTTGGTTTGCTAGCAAGGTTCTTGGTATCTTTTTATATTTGAGGCTTTCGTGCTAGTGCTGAAGTATTACACTCACCATCTGAGGTTTACAGGACTTTTGTTTTAATATTGAACCGAGGGAACTGTTTAGTTTTGCATCTTTGCAGGTATACAAAATGTGCCTACCAGGACTCTGCTTTATATCCATTGAAAAGCAAGAAGTAATACAGTAAAAGTTTGCCTGGCTACAGGCTTTGGAAGAATGGAGTATTCTGGTTTAATTCTATTAACTTGGAAGGATGAAGGTGGAAAAAATTCAAACCTTTAATTTCCTGTTGAATGCAATTTGAAAATATAGCCAATGAGTCCACTTTTCTTCTCTAGTAAGTTTGGACATTCAGATCTACTTGGTCTTTTATCATAGAACTCCTAGTGCGCCTGAGTCTTACGTTGTGAAAATCCTTTTCTAAAACTTTAGATGTAAGAGGATAGAAATGATATTGGATGAGATCAGGCTGGATGAGAACTGATACCTGTAGATATATTTTTTAGATGAAATCTCTGATTGCCACACGTTTTCTTATTGAACTCATAAAAATAAAACACACTGGCTGGAGGGTGGAAGTAGGAAGGAGATTTATGTCTTTTAATTGCATGTCATTGTTTCATATTGAGACAGAACATATAGTATCCCTGGCTTTGGACCTACAGAAGGAAACACATTTTTCTACCTGCTGTATGGCAGAGGTTCCTGAGCACCTGGAGGGATTATTGCAGCACGGATTGCTGGGCCCTACTGCAGAGTTTCTGATTCATTCATGTCTAGGGTGGGGCCTGAGAATTTACATTTATAAGAAGTTCCCAGGTGCTCCTGGTCCGGAGACTACATGTTTGAGAGCCACCCTTACATACTAACTGTAAATTGTAGAACTCTAGAAAAAAGCGTAGTTTGGACTGGGAGAAGAAGCACACAGGTAATGGAGCAAATCATGAAAAAGTCAACCCTTGATCCCAGGTAACAAGCAATACACAGTGACATAACACAATTCTTGGTTTTCATGATTGCAAGTCATAGCCAAGTATCGAGTGAGAAATTCAGTTTCATTTTCAGGGCTTAGAGGCCAGGTGATTCTAGAAAAATCGGATTTAGTGATTAACTCATGAGAGTAGGAGTTATTTATGTCCTTTTTCTCTCCCCCATCACTTAGCATTTAGCCTTACTTTAGAAGGGTCCTGTATTTGCTTTAACCTTGTAAAGAACTTTGAGTGCTTATTAAATGGAAAGCCTTGTGTGTGTGTGTGTGTGTGTGTGTGTGTGTCTGTGCGTGTGTGTGTGTGTGTGTGTGTGTATTTAGAGACAGAGTCACATTCTGTAGCAGCCCAGGCTGAAGTGCAGTGGCATGATTTTGGCTCACTGCAACCTCTGCCTCACAGGTTCAAGGGATTCTCCTGCCTCAGCCTCCCAAGTAGCTAGGATTACAGGCACCTGCCACCATGCCCAGCTACTTTTGTATTTTTAGTAGAGACAGGATTTCATCATGTTGGCCAGGCTGGTCTTGAACTCCTGAATTCGGGTGATCCACCCGCCCCAGCCTCCCAAAGTGCTGGGATTACAGGCATGAGCCATCATGCCTGGCTCAAAGCTTTGTATTTTTAAAGATATTAGACATGTTTCTTGTTTGTTTGTTTTTTTTAAAAAAACTAAACGCTAATGTAGGAGAATAAGAGAAAGTTTTTCCAAAAAAGAGAAAACATTGTGATTATCTTATTGGAATGTTGGATAATAAAGTCTGCTTTATCAATCATCAAGCACACTATAAAATTTCCATTTTAATAGGACTTGTACCTCAATTGAGGTAATAAAGTTTTAAAGTTTTTAAAGTGAAAGCCAGCCCCGCCCCTCTCCTGGAGTGGGCGGGGACAGCGGTTGCATAGGCAGCTTTCCTTGTGACAACACAGGTCCTTGATGACACGCTGCTGTCTGGCCACACCTCCTTTTCCTTTCATCTTTCTCATTGACCAATGGGCTTCAAGCATGAAGGCCACACCCCTATTCTGCATTCTAGTGCAGCCCTGGTTACGCCTCCTCTGGCTCAGTCACACAGCGACGTAGAGGTGACTGGAGGTATATACTTGTCCTCACCTGGATCATGCTGATGTGGCCCCAACCCCACCTCCCTACCCATCCCCACCTCCCTACCCATCCCCACCTCCCTACCCATCCCCACCTCCCTACCCATCCTATGATGTCCAAAGAAACCAGACAGAGCAAATTGGCCGAGGCCAAGGAACAGGTAAACGCACCAACACCCCAACCCAACCCGAGGCCCCCTCTGACAGCCGAACTGCTGCCAGAGTCTGTGCCACTCCTGAGGGACACCAGGCTGGGCCCCCCACCCCAGTGCCTCTGGGCTCCCCACACCAAAATCTTGTCAGCCAGCCCAACCCCCTCATAAGTCCTGCCCCTGCTCTGCCCGGCACACCAGGGTGACTTTGAGCAGGTGACTCCTGGGGCTTCCAACTCCATACTCCGCCCTTACCTCCTGCTACCCCAAACCCGACCTCCCTGGGCTCCTTGAGCTCACAGCTCCAAGGACCTGGGTGCCCCAGAACCTGCCCTCACCAGTTGCCACAGGGTGACTTTGGGGATGTGACTCCTGGAGCTCCTTGCTCCTTAATTGGCCCTCACCTCCTGCCGCCCCAAGCCTGACCTCCCGGGGCTCTTTGGGGTCACGTCTCCAAGGACCTGGCTCCCAATTTTGTGACCCCCTCCCCAGTCTCAAAGCGGCAACTTGGGCATTGCACTCATGTGTCCCCCCCAACCACTCCACCGAGGAGTAGAATGTAGTGATGTCACAGTCCCGCTACAAACTGTCATTACTACCACAAGACCGGCCTTTGGTCTTAGGACCCAGTCCCCTAAGTGTTCTTGCCCACTTCTGTTTCCTCTGGTTGCAGCACAGGTTTCCAGCTGGAAGGGGAATGGGGACTGTGGGACCTAGAAGAGAGAGGTTTCAGGCTGCCTGACTTCCTTACCACAGACCTTGACAGTGTGAAAAGCCTACACCTCCCCCATGAGCTCAACACGTTGACAGTGTCTCTGGGTGGCAATGGGAGAACGGGTTTGGTTTGGTTTTCTCCCAGGCTTCTACTCTCCAGAGAGATTTTAACATTTTTTCTCAGTTCTGCACCTCAGATTTGAATTCTCCATTGTTCTGGGACCAGAGTGCCCCTCAGTCACTGGTTCTGGAGTGAGATCTGCTTATCTTCTGTGGAACAGATCTTGGGAAACTGAACTTAGCTTGAGTCTTCCTCATCTCATCTCAACCTGGGGTACTTTGAGTGCCACAGGATAAATATGGGGCATCTTTCTGAAGCATCAGTTTCCCTTGATTCTATTGAGAGACAAAACATTAATGTACTTAGGGATGAAAGTCACATAGATTTATAAGCGTATACAAGACTTCTCTCTGAAATGAGGCTTGGGTTGTCCTCTTTCTGTTAAATTCCCAGATTTAGCAGAAAGGCTGCCTTCTGCCATGAGGAGACATTGATGTAAAGGTTTGAGAGGTACTGGTGTACTTTTTAACACTAACAGACGTGTGAGGGTGAATAACCCTAAACCACATAGTGCACAGTTCCTGCCTACTTAATATTTGCTTTTCTACCTCTGCCTCTGGTTTTGGTCCCTGGCAGCTGCTGATTTAGGGCAAAATCCCAGAGCTCAGAGTCAGAAGACTGAGTTTAAGTTCCATTACTGCCTTTTTTTTCAGCCATGGTATCAATCTCTCTCAGTCACTAAGTGATTGTGACAACATTTCCTACAGTTGGTGGCATTAAATCAGATGGTCTATAAGAGTATTTAGTATAAACTGTAAAGCAGGATGTGACTGTAGGAGCTTGTAGTTCTCATGAGTATCACTGCTCTTCCTTTCCACAGTTGACAGACCATCATCCCCAGACCAACCCTAGTGTTGGTACAGCAGCAAGCGACACCAAAAAGAAGAAAATAAATAATGGCACTAACCCTGAGACAACCACTTCTGGTGGTTGCCACTCGCCTGAGGATGTGAGTCTTGGCTGGCCGGGCTCCTGGGGACAGAGGGCCCAAGGGGTGGTGGAGGGTAATTGTTAAGATTGTGGAAGAACTGCCAGGTACTGGCTAAGAATTCTGGGTTTGAATCCTACCCCTCCATCTGCTAGGGATATGATTTAGCGCAAATTGCTTGAGCTCTTTGGGCCTCTCTTTTCACATCCGTAAAATACGAGTGGTATTGTTTTCCTTACATTTGTGAAGTTTAAATGAGATTTGTCATTGTGTTTTTATGTTAATCCCTCGTCCAGGACCTGCTGTAAACTCTCCTTCTTGGGCTTGCGTTTCCTGAGGTAGAGTTAGAGAGTATCAGAGGTTTCTGTTAGCTCTGAGAGCCCGAGAGTTAAAGGCCCACTAGAATGGAAACCTCAGGGCCAAGGGCTCCTGTCTGCCTTTTCTGACCTCTATTCCCGCTGTGAAGAACCGTCCCTGGCCCGTATGTGCTCAACGTTTGCTGAGTGAATGCACCTTTCTAAATCACAAGCTGGCGGAAGGGTGGGCTTTTCTCGCACTCCACCTCTGAAGGTTTCTGTTACTGTCTTTTCAAGAGAATCTAGTTTCAGACTTTGAGTTCTGTGGCTGTGGGCAAAAACCAAAAAGACCCAAATCCCTCTTCTTTGGGAGTTGAGGAGAGTTGACCAGTTCATGTTCCCATTGGGTCTGAGAACTGTGCCTTTTAAATCCATTCCTGGCCCCTGCCTATCGCTTCCTGGCCTGGGGAATAGAGTCAAGGGGGCCACCCTCAGTCACCTTCCTTTGACTCTCCCCACAGAAACAATAGAACCGAGCTCAGCTGGAAGAAGTCGTGTGATTTCTTTGCTCACGACATGACCGCTGGGTTTGGGGGCACTCAGATGTAGAGGCCCCAGGCTCATCTCACCCACTCCCAGCCTGGGGAAGAGGGCTCACCCCCAAGATTCCACCCCATCCCCACAGGGTCCCTGATAAACTGGTCCCATGGGTGGGCCTGTTCTGGGGCAGTGGTGCCATTCTGGGGGCATGTCTCTTGCTGTGGATCTCTGCCTCCCCCTAGTAAGAGCTCTGTTTTCCTCTTTCTATAGGAACAGAAGGCAAGCCACCAACATCAGGAAGCCCTAAGGAGGGAGCTAGAGGTGAGTGGAGGGTGTGAAGTTCCCTCCTGCCCTCTGGAGAATGTTTCTTTGCTTCTCTTTCAGCATTTGCTTGTCTTTTCTCCCAAAGGCCCAGGTTCATACCATACGAATCCTTACATGTCAGAAAACTGAGCTTCAGATGGCACTCTACTACAGCCAGCATGCTGTCAAGCAGTTGGAAGGTGGGAATCTGGCACCCCATCATCCTTCAACCTGGCACTTTGACAGGCCTTTAGGGGGAGTCCTTTGGGCCACATCTGAATGTCTCTCATTCCAGGAGAGGCCAGGGATCTGATCAGCCGCCTGCATGATTCATGGAAGTTTGCAGGAGAGTTAGAGCAGGCTCTCTCTGCTGTCGCTACACAGAAGAAGAAGGCGGATAGGGTGAGTCCAAACACGGCCCCGTCCCTTGGGAGCCCAGCTTCGCAGATGGAGGAGTGAGCCTAAAGGTCCCTTCTGTAGGATGGAGTGTCCTGCCCAGAAGGCAGCATAGCCATTTCTTGCTGCTTTTGTGTGTGGTTGTTAGAGGCAGACTGGGGCTGAGTCGGCTGTTGTGGGTGAGTTGGGGAGCACTGTGAGGAGCGAGCACTGGACATAGATCTCAGAGGCCAAGTGCCCGCCCTGCCCATACTTGGCTGTGGCCTTGGCCAAGTCCTAAGTGGCGGTTAGGGTACTTGTACCATAAAGGTACAGAAGAGTATCTTGAGTATGTTATTATTTGTGTGGAGAGAGGGGGCAGGTGTATATGTGTGTGTGTGTACGTATTATGGTAACATACATAAAACACGTTTGTAAGGATTCATTAAAAAACTCAGGATAGAGGCACAGTGTTGGGGGGAGATATTTCCCTTCTGGACTTTCTGAGTTTTGGACTATGCGAACGTATCATCCTTTCAAAAATTCAACAAAGGATTAATTTCCTCCTTCTTAACTGTGCCCCTACCTCCAGCGGAAGAATGGGCTTAGAGAATCAGATATACCTGGGTGTTGAAATCCCAGCTCCAAGTGATCTTAGGCAGCACTTAACCTTTAATACTGCATGTTTTTCATCTACACAATAGAGGTAATAATGGTAACCGTCTCCTATGGAGGTTGTGAGGATTAAATGGGATTGTTAGCATAGTGCCTGGTGAAGCACCCAATAAAGGCTCCAACAGTGGTAGTAATAACAGTAATAACAATAACAATATTATCTGATCGCTCTGGGCCCCTGTTAGCCAGCCCTAAATTCAATCTCTTTCCCTGTCCCTTCCACATCCACTGAGTTCTTTGAAAAACAAATGAGGGCCAGGTGCTCTCGCTCACGCCTGTAATGCCAGCACTTTGGGAGGCTGAGGTGGGCGGATCACCTGCGGTCAGGAGTTCAAGACTAGACTGACCAACACGAAGAAACCCCGTCTCTACTAAAAATACAAAATTAGCCCGGTGTGGTGGCACATGCCTGTAATCCCAACTACTCGGGAAGCTGAGGCAGGAGAATTGCTTGAACCCAGGAGGTGTAGGTTGTGGTGAGCTGAGATTGTGCCATTGCACTCCAGTGAGGGCAACAAGAATGAAACTCTGCCAAAAAAAAAAAAAGAAAGAAAGAAAGAAAAACAAATGAGACCATGGGCTTGGAAATGCCTTGAGAACACGTCAGGTGTGATTGAGAGTGAGGAAGTGTTACTGTGGAGTAGTCACTGTAGCAGTTGTTCCTGGTCGTCCAGCTACTGCTGTGCCTGCTCTATCCTGACTTAACCTTTCTCTATTTGCAGTACATTGAGGAGTTAACAAAGGAGAGGGACGCCCTGAGTCTGGAACTGTACAGGAACACGTAGGATGGGGGAAGGTGGAATGGGAGGTCTGGGGGCCCTTAGCATGGGTGGTGTGCTGGGAGGTGGGGGGTCCAGGTGAGTGTGGGGAGAGGCTCATACATGTTTTCATGTGTGCACACGGAAACTCTAGTGCTGGCTGTGCCACTGACTCATGGGGTAGCCTCAGGCAACTCATGTCTTCTCTCTGGCCTGCCACCTGGGACTTTTAATTCCTGGGGTCCCTTCCAGCGCCACGGTTCTGTGGTTGTGGGGCGAGGGTAGGGGGTCAATCACCAAAGTGGTCTTTTATGTTCTTCATTCATTCCTTTCTCTACTGCCTCTGGCCATAGCATAACTGATGAGGAGCTGAAGGAGAAAAATGCCAAACTACAAGAAAAACTTCAACTTGTAGAATCTGAAAAGTCTGAGATCCAGCTCAACGTAAAGGAGCTAAAAAGGAAACTGGAGAGGGCCAAGCTCCTGCTGCCACAGGTGAGCAGCTGCAGCCCCGGGGGTTGTGGGAGACCCATCCAGCTGGGACCATGGTCTAGGGATCATGCAGGGTATGGGGAGGCTCCAGCCAAGAGCTGGAAAATTTGGGTCCTTGTTCTGGCCCCGCCATAGAATCCTCTAGAGTGTACTAAAAATGTACAAATTGGGGCCCTGCCTGGGGAATCAGAATCTCAAGAGTTAGGGCTTAAAAATATTTTTTTAAAGGATCATGGATGAAAACCATTATTTTATAGATTACATTTATTTATTTATTTATTTATTTATTTATTTATTTATTTGAGAAGTAGTCTCACTCTGTCACCCAGGCCAGAGTGCAGTGGCGCAATCTCGGCTCACTGCAAGCTCCACCCCCCGGCTTCACGCCATTCTCCTGCCTCAGCCTCCCAAGTAGCTGGGACTACAGGTGCCCACCACCACACCCAGCTAATTTTTTGTATTTTTAGTAGAGACGGGGTTTCACTGTGTTAACCAGGATGGTCTCGATCTCCTGACCTCGTGATCCGCCCACCTCGGCCTCCCAAAGTGCTGGGATTACAGGCGTGAGCCACCGCGCCCAGCCTATAGATTACATTTATGTGGCTAGCTCATGATTCTGCTTCCTTCTGAGGTTCAAAAAAACACTTTCACTATTCCAGCAGCAGCTGCAGGCGGAGGCTGACCACCTGGGTAAGGAGCTGCAGAGTGTGTCAGCAAAGCTCCAAGCCCAGGTGGAAGAGAACGAGTTGTGGAACCGCCTGAACCAGCAACAGGAGGAGAAGATGTGGAGGCAGGAGGAGAAGATACAGGAGCGGGAGGAGAAGATACAGGAGCAGGAGGAGAAGATACGGGAGCAGGAGGAGAAGATGCGGAGGCAGGAGGAGATGATGTGGGAGAAGGAGGAGAAGATGCGGAGGCAGGAGGAGATGATGTGGGAGAAGGAGGAGAAGATACGGGAGCTGGAAGAGAAGATGCACGAGCAGGAGAAGATACGGGAGCAGGAAGAGAAGAGGCAGGAGGAGGAGAAGATACGCGAGCAGGAGAAGAGGCAGGAGCAGGAGGCGAAGATGTGGAGGCAGGAGGAGAAGATACGGGAGCAGGAAGAGAAGATACGGGAGCAGGAGAAAAAGATGTGGAGGCAGGAGGAGAAGATTCACGAGCAGGAGAAGATACGGGAGGAGGAGAAGAGGCAGGAGCAGGAGGAGATGTGGAGGCAGGAGGAGAAGATAAGGGAGCAGGAGGAGATATGGAGGCAAAAGGAGAAGATGCACGAGCAGGAGGAGAAGATACGGAAGCAGGAGGAGAAGGTGTGGAGGCAGGAGGAGAAGATGCACGACCAGGAGGAGAAGATACGGGAGCAGGAGGAGAAGGTGTGGAGGCAGGAGGAGAAGATACGGGAGCAGGAGGAGAAGATGTGGAGGCAGCAGGAGAAGATACGGGAGCAGGAGGAGATGTGGAGGGAGGAAGAGAAGATGCATGAGCAGGAGAAGATATGGGAGGAGGAGAAGAGGCAGGAGCAGGAGGATAAGATGTGGAGGCAGGAGGAGAAGATACGGGAGCAGGAGGAGAAGGTGTGGAGGCAGGAGGAGAAGATACGGGAGCAGGAGGAAAAGAGGCAGGAGCAGGAGGAGAAGATGTGGAAGCAGGAGGAGAAGATAAGGGAGCAGGAGGAGAAGATACGGGAGCAGGAGAAGATACGGGAGCAGGAGGAGAAGATACGAGAGCAGGAGGAGATGATGCAGGAACAGGAAGAGAAGATGGGGGAGCAGGAAGAGAAGATGCAAGAACAGGAGAAGATGCGGAGGCAGGAGGAGAAGATAAGGGAGCAGGAGGAGAAGATACGGGAGCAGAAGGAGAAGATACGGGAGCAGGAGGAGAAGATATGGGAGCAGGAGGAGAAGATACGAGAGCAGGAGGAGATGATGCAGGAACAGGAAGAGAAGATGGGGGAGCAGGAGGAGAAGATGTGGGAGCAGGAAGAGGAGATGCAAGAACAGGAGGAGAAGATGCGGAGGCAGGAGGAGAAGATAAGGGAGCAGGAGAAGAAGATACGGGAGCAGGAGGAGAAGATACGAGAGCAGGAGGAGATGATGCAGGAACAGGAAGAGAAGATGGGGGAGCAGGAGGGGAAGATGTGTGAGCAGGAAGCGAAGATGCAAGAACAGGAGGAGAAGATGCGGAGGCAGGAGGAGAAGATAAGGGAGCAGGAGAAGAAGATACGGGAGCAGGAGGAGAAGATACGAGAGCAGGAGGAGATGATGCAGGAACAGGAAGAGAAGATGTGGGAGCAGGAGGAGAAGATGTGTGAGCAGGAAGAGAAGATGCAAGAACAGGAGGAGAAGATGCGGAGGCAGGAGGAGAAGATGCGGGAGCAGGAAGTGAGGCTGCGGCAGCAGGAGGAGAAGATGCAGGAACACTAGGTGAGGCTGCAGGAGCTGGAGGAGAGGCTGGGGAAGCTGGGGCAGAAGGCCGAGCTCTTGGGGGGAGCAGGCGGAGGTGTGTGCAAACCCTGGAGATCATACAGAACGACCTCACCACAACTTAGCAGATGGTGGTTGGCTCCCTCTGCTTTTCCACCAGTCTGTGGCCTACAGTTTAAATGGTGGGAAGAAGGGTGTGAGATTTGAGGCTGGGGAGGGAGGCATGGGCCTCTAGGCAAGGGAGGCAGTCATTTAGGCCTGGAGGAAGGGGCCAGGGCCAGGGGCCTGGGTAGGCGACAGAGCCCCGCAGTGCCCTCACTACCCTGTTTATGGGCCCAGAATCTGGAAGCCAGCCACTACCTACCCTGACGCCTATCCTGCAGGTGGAGCTGAAGAGCCAAGAGGCTGAGTCTGCAGCAGCAGCGAGACCATTACCTGGGTCACCTGCAGCAGTACGTGGCCGCCTATCAGCAGCTGGCCTCTGAGAAGGAGGCACTGCCCAGCTGCAGCAGCAGGAAGCTCAGGGCGAAGCGGTGGCCGAGATGGCCCACCGATAGTTGCAGGAGACCCGGTTGAGGGAGTTGATGAGGGCGGGGCCCCAAGGGGGATGATCTGGCAACCTCCGTGCCTTCTCACTCTCTTTCCTGGCCCCTTAGGAGCACCTGGAAGCTGCCATCTAATGAGCACATGACAAGAAGGCAAAGACAATAAACATGTAAAAGCCGGCAGCAAGGCCTGGAGAAGAGTAAGCCGCCATGTGACTGTTTAGAATATAGTCTGAGCACAAACCTGAAAAAAAAATTTTATTTATTTTAAATTGTGGCAAAATACTGGCCAGGCATGGTAGCTCACGCCTGTAATCCTAGCAATTTGGGAGGCCGAGGTAAATGGATGACCTGAGGTCAAGAGTTCAAGACCAGCCTGGCCAATACAAAAATTAGCCGGGCATGGTGGCGCATGCCTGTAATCCCAGCTACTTGGGAGGCTGAGGCAGGAGAATCGCTTGAACCTGGGAGGCAGAGGTTGCAGTGAGCTGAGATCGTGCCACTGCACTCAAGCCTGGGTGACAGAGCGAAACTCCGTCTCAAAAAAAAAAGTTTCTTCCTTACATGTATGTTTCTATTAGTTTTCTTCTTGGTCTTTCTCATTTAGTCTTGTGTTGTCTTTTGGCATTCATAGTAAACTTTTATCTGCCTCCAGAGAGTATTGACTTTGAGTTTATGGCACACAATTGGAGTAAGGGCAGATCGCCTTCATCTACTTCGGGACTAAGCTGGTTCAAAGCAGGTTTTAGGTTTTCTGATGGCTGGTCTATGTTTTATTCATTTGGACTCCCAGGGGTGGCCCTTCCAGGGTCCCCACCAAGGTCCCATCTCCCTCCTGGGACCCAAATTCTCATTAGGTCATTTCAGCCCTGTGAGAGTGCCAAACATTCAGCTAGGCTCTCCAGCCTCTTAACTACCACTTCATACTCAGTTTCTTAGCCTCTTAGCCCTCTACTGTTGACCAATCACCAAATGTGGGAAAGCACTACAGACTGTCAGGATCACCTCCTAGGCCTGGTCACTCAAGTCCTGACTGAGGTCTCCAATTACCTTCCAACAATTGTTTTTGATTGGGGGCGGGGCACATTTTTATCCAGTTTTTCTAACTGCTCTTGCGGGGAGGCGAATCTGTAACAAGCTCCTCTGCCTTTATTGAAAGTTGAAAACCTTCATCTGTCCTTTTTTTGTTGTTGTTGAGATGGAGTCTTGCGCTGTTGCCCAGGCTCTAGTGCAATGGCACGATCTCTGCTCACTGTAACCTCTGCCTCCTGGGTTCAAGCAATTCTCCTGCCTCAGCTTCCCGAGTAGCGTGTGCCACCATGCCTGGCTAATTTTTTTTTATACCTTTAATAGAGGCAGGATTTCACCATGTTTTCCAGGCTGGTCTCGAGCTCCTGACTCAGGTGATCTACCTGCCTCAGCCTCCCAAAGTGCTGGGATTACAAGTATGAGCCACTGCATCCGGCCCATCTGTCTTTTAAAACATGTTTTTAATTGGAGGTATAATTTCTATTAGTGAAATGCACAGGTCTGGTTTACATTTTGATGAGTTTTAACTCATTTAACATTACTATGGAACCCACCTCCTTTGAAGATACAGAGTATTTCTATCATCCAGAAAGTTCTCCTGTGCTTTCATGCTGTCCCGCACTCCCCCAGCAGCTGATGAACATGCTGAGGACATTGGTACTGGATTCTGGCCGCCCCAAAAGAGCCGCTTTGACCAGGCTTACCCAGCACTAAATCCCTGCCTGCTCTCTCAAAATTTCCATCTTTAAACTGGTTGTACCTATAACCCTCCCTCATCAAGTCAATAGATAAACAAACCCTGAAAAATAAACAACTCTTCCTGGCCCAGCAGCCCACAGCCTAATATTTACTGTATTCCCAGGCTTTCAGAAATGTAACTCGCCTGCCGGTTCACCCTCACTAGGGCGGCAGCTGCACGGGAGCAGCTGGGCTCACCCATTAAGCAAGAAGCCAATAGCTGGACAGTGACACTCAGACCCCAGGCTGGGCGAGCCTGGCTGAAAGCCCCCTTCTTTCCATCCGACTGTGGAGAAAGGGGGCGGAGCACACACAACTCTACTGCCCTCCACATCCTTCACCCGTGCTTCCTCCTGGGAGAGGGAGCCGCTCATTAATTTGGCCAAAGCCTTCTTGAGGGCTGTAGGTTTCACAGGCTGGGTGTGTGGGGGCCACCGTGCTAGAGACAGAGGCTGGTGTGTCAGAAGGTAGCCACCTGGCCAGAGGGGGGTCAACCCCCTTGGTGACCTCCTTCCCCCGGCTGGACACAGTGCCCTGCACTCTCTACATGTGACTGTTCCCCTCAGAGCTGCTTCCAGGGGAGGGGTTCTAATCCTGTGGGTGGGGACATTGTGTTACTTTACAGTGGGCCATGGCTCCCTCTGACATCTCCAACTCAGAGGCAGTAGAGAGAAGATGAGAAATTCCCTGCCCCTCCTCCCTCAGCACCCCCACCTCTGCACATGTCCACATGTGGAGACCCTGACAATGGGCCCTGGGAGTGCCGCCATCTGTGCCTGCTTTCCATGCCTGCAGCAGCCATGCCCACTCTCCAGACCCTCACCCGCCTGGGTCAGTAGACGCTTCACTGCCTGTGGTCCTGCGCCTACACCTGGGCCTCTGTACCCGTCAGTTCCCCCAGTCTGGTTCTTATTCCCTGCAAAGAGTAGGGAGCCTATAAGGTCACCTGTTGAGCAAGCTGGGGGAGAGAGTAGGGTGGGGCTGGGAGGATGAGGAGGAGAAGCTCATGGTCGTGCTGGAGACTCAGCTGAGCAGAGTCTATGCAGGCCCATTGGCTGCCTAGCCAGTGGTGATCTCGCTCCCACCCTCATTTCTTCTTTGTTAACAAAACCATGACCTCATTAAATACTGGACACCTATAAACCTCATGGACCCTCCTCCAGCCTCCCCACCGTGTACCGGTGAGTCTAAGTCAACTCTAGTCATTTCATTCCTCTGGACATTGACTGCTTAGGGCTTGGGCATGAGCTTCCTCTTCACCTGAGCCTGAGCCACAGGTACCCTCTGCACCTACCACGCTGATGCACTGGGCCAGGGAGAGCGCCGTCTGGATGGAGATGAGCTGTGAGGAGCTGGTGGCTGGGCGGATCAGGTTGTTGTAACAGGTTTTGTTCAGAAGGTCGTCCATCAGCTTCTGCTCGGCATGGGCCATGCGGCAGTCCCCTGGGTAAACACACAGACATGCTGGGCCCTTGTGCAGCTGTCTCCCACTGCAGCTGACAGCTATGAAGCAGGAGCTGAGAGGGCCAGGGAGCACAGACACCCTGAGAGCTGGCTGAAGCAGTGAAGGTGCTGGCCGGCCTGGCTTTCCCTGGGGACTTCAAATGACATTCACGACAGAGCTCAGCTACCTCCTCCCCATGCCATACCTCTTCCTCCTCCTCCTCCCTCCGTCAATGAACAGCATCCCACGCTCTACACATCTGATACAAAACTGGGTGTCTCTTCCTGACTCCTCCCTTGGTTCACCCAAGTGGCCACCAAGTCCTGTCTGTCCTCCCATCTCCACGGCTACAGCCATGTCCCTGCCTCCCCCGCCCTGCCCACCTTCTATTCTCTCCACCCACACTCTGCCCGTGCCATCCATGTGCCATACAGTGGCAGACTGGTCTTTCTACAGCAAACTGGACTTGGGCCCTTCCCTACCCACAGCTCTCAGAGCTGGAGGTGGAGTTGAAGCTCATGTTTTGGCTTGGCATTCAGAGCTCTTTCCCCCTCAGCACTGGCTTATCCAGAGTGCTCACAGTGCAGGGCAGGAGCCTCGTGACTCAAATGTGGGTTTGGTGCAGAACTGGGTCTGAGGTGGTGCTTTCCCTGTGAAGAGACAGGGCCGACATGGGGGAATTTTCTGGGTTCAAAGTTAGACCTACAGAGTGCAAAGTTTCTCTGAGGCACCAAATGGAGGGGTCCAGCTAGCAGCTGGCTCCTGGTCTGGAGCTTCAAGGAGAGGTCTCAGCTCAGAGCCACATTCAATAGCCAGCTTACATGTGGCCTCCTGCAGGGAGCCCCTGGAGCTTCCACAGCCTCCGTTCTGCCCCTCTGCATACCCCAGATCTCCTGCTAAGTGGCGTTTGGGTCTTCATGTCATCTCCCTCCCATGTCTGGGAGTAAAGGTGAGGTGCAGGGACTTGCGCTTGTGTACTCTGGTGTCTTAAGGGAGAGTGTGTCAAGTAGAGTGGAGGCGGCTTGGAAAGAGGGAGACTCAGAGGAGAGTGAAGGACACATGACCAGGCGAGCCTGGGAGCAGGAAAAGAGAGTGAGCAGAGGCAACTGCTGGGTCAGGGGAGCGGATGGGAGGATCAGGGAATGCGGGGGGGCTGGAGAGGTAGGGGTGGGGATGTTGGCGAGGGGCTGCCTGGCTCGCCAGGCTCAGGAGTCAGTTACATCCTCCCACAAGGGCCAGCTCACCTGGTCGCCCCAAAGACCTCCCTCTGTGGGTGGGACCAGAGGGCCAAGAGCACGGATAACCCAATTGAGCAGGACTGAGGCGGACTCAGGTGGGTGCTGGGCCGGACTCCTGGCTGTGGGGAGCAGCCGCCACCCTGCCTATTGCATCCACTTTCCAACTCGCTGCCTATCTGAGCAGATGCGATATTGGGCACCTTGTGAAACATGCTCCTGGTGCACCTGCTGCCTGCTGCCCCTCCTGCAGAGTGCCCGGGCTCTCCAGAGGGGATTCCTATGGAGGCTTGGCCTAGATTCTGAGTCCTGCCTCTCATACCTGGGGCTGCTACCCCAGAGGCCAGCTGCTTGAGTACCCCGGAAGCCAGTCTGTAGCCCCAGGCTACAGCTGGGTCCATCCCACAGCCCTTCTCTAATGTACCTATTTGGACTGGCTGCTCATTTCATAGAGAGGGGTGTGTCTTGCCCCAGACCATCTGGCATGTCTAAGGCAGCTGTGGGGTCAGAATCTGCAGCTCCCAGCCCTCAGCCCAGCAATAGTAGGAAAGGCTGGACCCCACATCTCTGAAGTCCCACTGGGTGGGTGTGAGCGGGCTCCCGAGTACAGGGCTGCTCTGCAGGCTGTGGGGCTCATGCGCCAGCTCTGAGCCCACCTGATGTGCTCACGTTGCTCACCTTTGGGCCTGTCCTGCCTCTCAGGCATTCGGCTGACCCTGAGGGCCTCTCCCTCATCTTGACCACCAGCTACGGGCTCTGATTTAGAGGTTCCCAGAACCTTAGACCATTTGGCCGGCCCCCCATTTCTCACCTGAGGAAACTGAGACCAGAGAGGGATAGCAACTTTCTCAAGGACCCCCAGCAATTCAGAGGCAGAACCAGGTCTAGGAGCCTCTTCTCGATAGAGGTTCCCCCTGTCCCCTGAGCCTTCGTTAGTGCCTCATTAACTTCCCTGTAAGGAAACTGCCCCGCTGAGGCTGGAAATGGTGCTGTCCAGAGTGGTGTGTGCCAGTGACTGTGCTTGTGTTTGTACTTGTGAGTGTGTATGGGGGTGGGGATGAGGGGTGGGAATAAACGGCAGGGATGCTGGGGGCTGGATGCACTCCACCTCACCCCAAAAAGGGGCACAGCAGAGCCCAGCCAAGCACAGCACATGCTTCGACTTTCCAATCTGCTGAATGCCTGTGAGGCCGGCTGGGCCCAGAAGACAAGGGACAGGCCTTTCCCCATAGATGGCAGGGGGGACCCAGGATGGGTGGAAGCTTCTGCCGCAGCTTTGGGGGTCACAACCCAGCCCATGGGCTGACACTTAAGCAGAAAAGCCACCTCTAGGGGTCAGTCATAATCTAGTGATTCTGATGAGGAGGGCCCCACCAACCTCTGTCCAGGGTCTTGTCTGGGAAAAACTGCTCCCTGGCAGAAAGAGGCTAATAATTTGAGAGGAAGCCATAGCTGAAACCCTAAGCTGTGTGAGTGTGTGTCCAGTTTGAGAAAGCATATCCGACTTAAACATTTGTATTGAAAAAATGGAAACATATTCCCCTTGTTTTGGAATACAAACTGCAGAAAGCAGCAGTTAACAGAATCTTATCGGAAAGGTCAGACTCTGCATCTGGAAAGGCACAGTGATTTTCAACTGCAGTGTGTGTCCTTAACTGAGGAAGGGAAGGTGAGATTTATGTTTAGTAAAAGGCAGCTATGAATTTACCTTTTATAAAGAGCTTGCTATATACTATTAGTGCTTTTCAGTCATGTCAGAATCAGCCAGATGCCTGTGGAAATGCAAATTCCCAGGCTTCATTCCCAGAGATTCTGGTCCTGTGAGCCTAGGGTGGGGCCCAGAAATCTCTATGGGGTGGTGCAGCCTGCCCCAGGACCACACCAAGAAACACTGCAACTGGCCCACACACATCCCAGTCCACAAATATGTAGGCAGGCATCTTATCTCCACAGAACAGATAGGGAAACTGAGGTCAGAGTGGGGAAAGAAACGTCATGGGGCCACCCAGCAAGTAGTAGCAGAGCCACGATACACCCACTGCCTGCAGACACCATCTCTGATGACAGCTCCACCTCCCCACAGGAATCTTGCCTACCCCCACCCCTACCTCCTGCTGCCCCTATGGTGGGTCTCTGTCCAAGGAAGATGTATCCTAGGTCCTCTAGGCTGACTGCGGCTCAGAGGAAACCTTGGCCCAGAGTGTAGGAGCTAGAGGGGTCCTTGGAATTCACGTGGGGAATTTGAGGCCCAAAGAAGGCAGCCCTCACATTTGAACTCTGTCTGGAGAAGGGCTAGGTCTTCTTCCTGAGTGGTAGTTTTGACTTCACCAGCCTGGCCCTCAGTCAAGCTGGCTGTCCAGGCCCGCCACACCTCGGGGTGGGTGACCAGAGGCGGTGGTGCCATAAAAACACGTTTCCTGGGAGATCCACCCCCAAAGCTCCAAACATTCCAGGGCTGGTGATTTGGGGAAGCCCCCTTCCCTCTCAGCCCAGTTTCCCCATCTCTGCAACAGCCGTGCTGGTGGAGACTTCTGATACTGAGCTGCAGATTTTCTCCTGGGTGCCTACACAGCCCAGGTTGCCGGCTCCTCTGTGCCCACTCTTCAAGAAAGTCAGCTCTTAGGTAAGGAAGGTGCCTTGGCCCTATCAGGAGCAGGAGCCGGTGCACCCCCAGCTTCCCAGACCAGTGGGGATGACCCAGGCTGCCTACAAAGCTGCTGCCCAGCCCGGAGACACCCGCCTGGGAGGGTGGCCCTGGCCCTTGCAGCGGCTCTGAGAAGAGTCGGCCCCCACTCCAAAACTGGCAGAGCCACCCATGCCTTCCCTCAGCCCAAAGAGGCTTTTAGGAAAATGAATCGTCTCAAGTTCAAACCCATGGGGTTGCTGAAAGACAAGACAGTGCAGGGTGAGCTGGTGCGAGGGAGCGCTGCTCGGTGCAGACTTTGCAGGGAGGGCACTTAGGAAAAAGGACTGGAGTCTGGGAGGGTTAACTAGCTTAGGGTTAAAGGGAGGGGATGGAGCTGGAGTGAGCTGGCCTCGTCCTCCCCCTTGGGCCTTCCAGCCTGAGCTCAGGTGATTCAAGGGAGCAAGCACCTCCCTCTCCCAGCCAGGGAGTTCTCGCCACATTCTGCAATCAGTACCATTCCCCTGGGGGCTGGGTGACAGCCCCCACCTCTGGACCTGGCTGGAACTGCTGTCTCAATTCTAGATCCAAAAGAATCTCTGGCAGCTTCTCCATCTCCCTCTCAGTCCAGCCTCACCTCTTCGCCCGTGGAGGAGCTCCAACAGCAAATCTGGCAACTGGAGGAACAAGGCAGGAAGGGCAGGGTCTGAGGAAGGAACCACCTTCAAAAGGCAGCTCTGCCACCTTCTCTCCAGGACTCTCAGGCTTGCTTTCCTATTGCTCCCTCGACATCCTTTTGCTATAATCTGCCATGTTGACGTATAGTCTTTAAAAGCAACAATGCTGTTGACGTGGAGCAGACTTCCCATTTGGGATGGTTTGGAGAAGTTAGGTTTGAGGGCATCCTCTCTTCTGCAAACTGCAGCAGTAATAGATGAGATATACAAAGTAAATAAAGGCTGGGTGCGGTGGTCGTGCCTGTAATCCCAGCACTCTGGGAGGCTGAGGCAGGAGGATCACTTGAAGCCAGGAGTTCGAGACCAGCCTGGCCAATATGGCGACACCCTGTCTCTACTAAAAATGTAAAAATTAGCTGGGCATAGTGGTGCACACCTGTAGTCCCAGCTACTCAGGAGGCTGAGGCAGGAGAATCACTTGAACCCGGGAGGCAGAGGCTGCAGTGAAATGAGATCCCGCCACTGCATTCCAGCCTGGGCGACAGAGTGAGACTCCATCTCAAAAAATAAAAATAAAAAATAAAGTAAATAAAAAAGACATGCCCAGGCTGAAAAATAAGTTAATTATCTCCATGAACGAAAAGCAGACAAGAAATGCAAAGTGGTTGGAGGCTGAAGAGCCTGGACCCTCCTGGGCTTTGGGAACCAAAGATGGTGGCAAGTCCTTTGGGATAAAGAGGGACAAAATGACTCCTAGCTAGAAGCTGGGAGCTTGGGTGTACCCCAGTACTTGAAAGGATGCTAGCTGGGCGCGGTGGCTAATGCCTGTAATACCAGCACTTTGGGAGGCCGAGGGAAAGTAACTCTTATGTCAGTGTGAAGCAAATCAGACAGGACAGGGGAACATGGAGGGGAGGAGAGCCAAACCAGGGCCTGGTTCCAGACCCACCACACCTGCCCCGTTGAGCCAGGAGCACAGGTGGCTCTCTGCACAACATCAAGAGCGAGGACATGCTTTCAGCTCCACTTTAACTCAGGTTCCTAATGTGACAGCAGGCTTGTCAATCCCACTTGCCCCCGTGTCTCACACCAGAAAACTACCAGCAGCATGAGTAAGGACAGAAGCAGGAGACAGAGGAGCCAGGGTTGGGGAATCCCATAGCAACCCACAGGCCCTCATCACACACGGCAAGGATGCGCCTTCACTGGGCTCACCACCACCAGACATCACCTTCACTACATGATACCCTGCCTGGATAACACCACTGTAACACAAGAAACAGGTCTAGAATCTAGCATGTATGCTACACCTGAAGGAGCAAGAGACGGTAATACAATACAATGAAATTTTTAGTTTATTTAATATAAAATTTAGAGCCATAATCAAAATGTGTAATTCTGATGGGATTCACTACTTATAAAAACTTTGCAGCGCTCTATTTTCAAATGTAAATGGTATTCTGTGGCTCCTCGCCAGCAAGTAAATAACGATCTACTCTGAAATACGTTTCACGGCTTATTTTTGGCAAGCAGCGATTTCTCCAACTCACGTTTTCCAAGGGAAAAAAGGACGTGAAATGTCTCCAAAAGTCTCTTACGATCTTTAGATAAACTACTGTTCAACAACTGCATCTGCCAAGTCAACACATCAAGAATCCTTCACTCACAAACACTTAAGGTGAGAAAACAGTGTCTACCCATGCGGGAGAGGGACACATGATCCATGCTTATGAAGACAGCCTGGATATCGGCTACTGGAAAGCTGCGAATGCATTTTTCTTTTTCTACTTTCCAAAATTTTTGTGAGGTGATACTTATTTCTATGTTTGTGTCTATTCTTTCTATTTTGTATTTTTTAGTAGGTACATCCTTACTATAAATCTGCTGTAGAACCAATGTCCCATACAGGACCCCACGTGCCACAGGAACCAAAAAGTCACACGCAGCGAAGACGAAGACACAGGAGACAACCTGTGTGGACAGCACAGAGCCACCTGCCCAGGACACCAATGGAGCCACAGGTGCAATTCAGAATGTTCTTAGTCGTATTAATAAACATGGCCAGGTGCGGTGGCTCACGCCGGTAATCCCAACACTTTGGGAGGCTGAGGTGGGCAGATTACCTGAGTTTGGGAGTTCAAGACCGTCCTGGCCAACATGGTGAAACCCCATCTCTACTAAAAATACAAAAATCAGCCAGGTATGGTGGCATGCTTCTGTTAGTCCCAGCCACTCAGGAGGTTGAGGCAGGAGAATCATTTGAACCCAGGAGGCAGAGGCTGCAGTGAGCTGAGATCGTGCTACTGCACTCCAGTCCAGGCAACAGAGTGAGGATCCATCTCCGGGTGGGGAAAAAAAATTGTTCTTAGTCACATTAACAAAAGTAAAAAAAAAAAACAAAAAACACCAACAAGAAAAACAACAACACATAAAATTAATTGTAATAATGGCTGGTTGCAGTGGCTCATGCCTGTAATCCCAGCACTCTGGGAAGCCAAAGCGGGCAGATTACTTGAGGTCAGGAGTTCGAGACCAGCCTGGCCAACATGGTGAAACTCTGTCTCTACAAAAATACAAAAATCAGCCAGGCGTGGTGGTAGTCCCAGCTGCTCGGGAGTCTGTAGTCCTGTAGTCCCAGCTGCTCAGGAGGCTGAGGCAGGAGAATCACTTGAACCCAAGAGGCGGAGGTTGCAGTGAGCCAAGATTGCACCACTGCACTCCGGTCTGGTCAACAGAGTAAGATTCCATCTTAAAAAATAAAAATAATTTTAATAATGTATCATAGTTATTCCAACAGATCAAAAATATGACCATTTCAACATGAAATCAATCTAAGAAAAATTATTGAGATATTTTACATAGGTTATTTCATATTAAGTCCTCAAAAACCATCTGAGTAGCTTACATATGTAACACATTTCAATTTGGACAGTGAAATTTGCATTGAAAACATCTGATCTCCATTTAGACTCATAAAATACACAGTTGACAAAGTAGACTCCCAAGGCCAAGTGATTCTAAACATACTTAAGTGCTTTCTAATAACAGAATCAAATTTTCAAACCTGCATTTTAATGAATAAAAATTAAACAGATAAAATATTCAGTGTCTCAGCTATGACGGACAGACTTCAAGTGCTGATCAGCAAACGGTGTTGAGTGTAGCCAGATGGGCCAGCGCAGGCTACACAGCTGCAGCTCAAACAGCACAGCTGCAGGTCAAACAGGCCAGTCTCTCTGCGCACGGGAACAGTCTGGGCAAGCAGGAGACGGGGAAAACGGGCACTGCCCTCGTGAGAACAAAGGACCCACAACAGGAACCCTGCACTCACCCCCTGCCAAAGACCAACAGCCCCACGAAGCAGCCACTTCAGAAAAGGGAGAGGCATTCAAGAACTTAGAAAAGCACCTCTGGAAAATGCTCACTTTAAAACTTTGCATGTAACTGTACATTTTAATTACAAGGTTTTTAACATCCATTTTCTCATGTATTCTTAATTAACTCTGTGAAAGTAAACACAGCTTTTATTCTTACTCCTATAGTTACTGTGTTGGAAGTCCACCTATATGAACAAACTGTTGTAACTGAAATTTTCTGAGAACAAATCCCAAGCTCTTTCCATCGACACAAACTATATTGTTTAGTTCTCTTTATTTCCATTTGTTAAAGACCAGAATGTGTGAAATATGCATTATCAGATTAGAAAAACAAAACAAACATCAGAAAAAGGTTTTGCAAAATAGCATTTACTAAAATCTATGACAGAAACTAGCTCTAAAACTTCCTGTTTCAAAATTTCACTGTGTGTGCACTAAGTTAGTTTTGCTGGCTGTGGACAGCAGGCCCACCCCATGCCGCGGGCCCACCCCACGCCGCGGGCCCACCCCACGCCGCGGGCCCACCCCACGCCACGGGCCCACCCCACGCCACAGACCCACCATGGCCCCATGAACAGGCCAGCTGAGAGCTGCAGCCACTGCCCAGGGCTCCCTGGTCTGTACTCGGCTGCCTGACCCAAGCTGCCAGGGCTCTGCTTTCTCTATGTGTAGAAACAAAAACCAGGAGCATCAGTTGACGAAAAGCAGATTTTTATTGAACAGAGGTATAAATGTGTTTCATTTTCTAATAAATCTCTTTCACAAATCACCTTGCTGTTTCGCTCTTCTTGAATGATCATTTTTACACAACACTGTCTGACTGTTTTGGCTTCTGCCAAGGTTAGCGTCTGTTCACAGGCTGAGTCTGACTTCCTCCTCCCACCTCCTCCTAGTCTGGCCTTCCAAAATAATGCTCACCATTCTATCACATTGACTTCAGTTTTGAAAAGAAAAGTTATCTTACAAAGTAGTAGGTACAACTCTGTAATGTGTAAAGTGAGGCAATGATAGAACCAGTTTTAAAAATAACCTTCCATGATGATTTTCATTCGCACCTACCTGCTTATTAGTAAGAATCTTTTTACATGTTTACTGCACGCCCCAATTTCTCTTCTGTGAAAAACTTCTGAGTATCATCACACCCTCCAACTTCTCCTCTCACCTATATTGAGAAGGGTCTGCTCTTTATCCTAACATCTATACTAGGTAATTTTCAGAATATTCCTTCAATCATCAAACAAATTTTTGAGACCCTTGCGCTAGATTTCACTATCTTAATATGAAAACCAATAATCACCTATTAAAATACAATACAGGCCGGGAACAGTGGCTAACACCTGTAATCCCAACATTTTGAGAGGCCAAGGCAGGTGGGTCACCTGACGTCAGGAATTTGAGACCAGCCTGACCAATATGGTAAAACCCCATCTCTACTAAAAATACACAAATCAGCCAGGTGTGGTTGCAGACGCCTGTAGTCCCAGCTACTCGGGAGGCTGAGGCAGGAGAATAGCTTGAACCCAGGAGGCGGGGGTTGCAGTGAGCCAAGATCGTGACACTGCACTCCAGCCTGGACGATAGAGCAAGACTCCATCTCAAAAAAAAAACAAAAAACAAAAAACACCATTAATAAGTAAATAAATAGGCCAGGCGTGGTGGCTAATGCCTGTAATCCCAACATTTTGGGAGGCCAAAGTGGATGGACCACCTGAGGTCGGGAGTTCAAGACCGGCCTGACCAACATGAAGAAACCCTGTCTCTAATAAAACTACAAAATTAGTGGGGCATGGTGGCGCATGCCTGTAATCCCAGCTGCTCGAGAGGCTGAGGCAGAGGAATTACTTGAACCTGGGAGGCGGAGGTTGCAGTGAGTCAAGATCGCACCACTGCACTCCGGCCTGGGCAACAAGAGCGAAACTCTGTCTCAAAAAAAAAAAAGTAAATAAATAAAACACAATACAATACAGCTAATATGATTTACCTAAGAAGCTGTTGTATGAGCTGAACCAGAGGCAAACACTGTTTGCCAGAAGACTCACAGATCCCCGTATTAATAAGGTCTTTATCCAATGGAGTCCTCCTTCTATGAAATGTTGAGGCATTTGCTTCCTGTTCATAAATTTCTTTTTCCTTCCGTGCTTCTTTTTTTGTATCCTGTAATTGATAAACAGAAATTGTTTACAAGTGATCTCATTACCAGGTGTGAAGGCACACAGGCTGGCTGAGCCCTGACCCCAGTGCCAAGCTATCCCAGCCTCTGTGGCTGCCACACCCATCCACCCACAGGCCCCCCACCTGCCCTGTTGGAAACCCCAACTCATTTGTGCAGTTTCAAACAGTGTCTTCTTTTTACAGATCCAAGGTCCAGGCTGCCTCTGCTGATGCTCTCCAGCCTCCTTCTGTGAAGTCCCTAAAATCCTTAACCCTGCTAATGGCTCACACAAAACCCAATGTGATCGGCTCCACACACGCAGCATCCAGCTGCTCTGTAAGGACAAGAAGGAGCTAGAATTCTCACACACAAAAGTCCTGGTTCAAATGCAAATGGCAAAGCCACTTTGGGAAACTATGAACACACACTTACCCCAGGACCTAACAAATTCCACTCCAAGTGTTTATCCAAAGGGAGAACATATGTTCACTAAAGTACTTGTTCACAGCACAATTGTGGCAGCTCTACACGGCCAAAAACCAGAAAGCCTGGGCGCGGTGGCTCACGCTTGTAATCCCAACACTTTGGGAGGCCAAGGTGGGGGGATCACTGGAGCCCAGGAGTTGAAGACCAGCCTTGCAACACAGTGAAACCTTGTCTCTACAAAAAAATCAAAAAACTAGCCGGGCATGGTGACATGTATGTGGTCCCTGCAACACAGGAGGCTGAGGTGGGAGGATCATTTGAGCCTAGGAGGACAAGGCTGCAGTGAGCCAACATCAGGTCACTGTATACAGCCTGGGTGACAGAGCAAGACCCTGTCTCAAAAAAAAAAAAAAAAAAAGAAAACAAAAACCAAAAACAATTACATGTCCTTCAATAGGAGAATGAACTAACAAACAGTACTACACCTATAAAATGGAAAACTTCCCAATAATAAAAACGAAGTCGCAATACACACAACAGTGAGTGAATCTGAAAATCATTCTCCAAGGCAAAGCAGGAAAGAGTGCATACTATACAGTTATATTGCTGCGACACTCAGAGCAGGAAAAATGAATCTAATCTCAGGGCAGGGGAGTATCCTGGCTGCAAGTGCCAAGGAGCACAGGGATCTTTCCGGGTGACGGGAATGGTCTACATGAGGAACAGGTTACCTGTTAACTTCACTGAAACAGACAACATGCAGTATTTTATCACAAATCATCTCAATAATTTTTAAAATTAGCACATAAAAGAATTTTAATTTAAAAAAATACTTGGATATAAGTTTAGTGTTTTACTGTTTTCAGTTATTCTTCACATGTGTGAGTGTGGTATTTCCGATCTCAGCCCACCACCAGGTCACGTGTGCCTCCAAGGCCATACCTGGATCTCTGCAGTAATGGCTGCGTGTAAGGCTGACTCCAACCCTCCATCAGCCATCAAGCTGCCCACCAGAAGATCAATCACCAATCGATGACCTGGACTTATGTTCACTTCATTGCCTGAAACTGAAATAGAAAGTCTGTGCCAATTTGAGTGAAACGCCATCCCCTCCCAGCACCCTGACCCATGCCCTCTCCTGTTCCTTCCCCGAGCCCACCTCCACAGGACAGGAGAGCAGAGTGCCCGGGCCTGCTTCTCAGCGGTGGGCAACAGCATGGACCAGCCGCTCTGCAGCATGGCCTGGGAGGCCGACTGCACGGTGCTCAGCACGTCTGCGCTGCTTGCCAGGGTCACCACCTTCTGCTTCAGGCTGTTCAGGAAGACGCTGCCCAGACCTAAACCAAGGAATTCCAGGTCAACCTGGTGACTAATGGCAGCATGCAACTGAAAGGAGAAAAACAATTTTCACTTAGAACCCCTAAAAATGAGTGAATTTCAAAGTCTTATTAAACACTGAATAAAAGTCAATTTGAAGTATTATTTAAATAGACAAAATAACTTCTCAGTTTACGTATTTTTAAAAACTGGACTAAAAAAACTCTTACCCACAATAGTTGAAGTATTTTCTAGAGGAATTTTTTTTAACCCCACTATGAACACATATATGGAAAAGCTCAAGATGAGCAGAAGAGCTAAACAACTAGCAACAGCAACCTCCACCCCGCCCCAACAATCTGCACCAAACACAGAAATAATGGCTACAATGTAACCACAAAAGCTGCCACAGGCGGTGGCTCATGCCTGTCATCCCAGCACTTTGGGAGGCCGACGTGGAAAGCTCACTTGAGATCAGGAGTTCAAGATCAGCCTGGCCAACATGATGAAACCCCATCTCTATAAAAAAATCAGCCGGGTGTGATGGTACACACCTGTAGTCCCAGCTACTTGGGAGGCTGAGGCAGGAGAATCACTGGAACCTGGCAGGCCAAGACTGTACCACTGCATTCCAGCCTGGGTGACAAAGTGACACCCTGTCTAAAAAAAAAAAAGAGCTGCTAAAAATTAGACTGCGGAGCTGAGAGTACACAGGGAAACTCCTCAAGTGCAAAACCAAAATTCACATGGGCACACACAGCAGGAGTCAAGAGGTTCCGGGCTCTGAAAGCAGAGCCAAGCCGCCAGGCTTCAGCACAACCTCCCACACGGGAATGCACACAAGGACCCACTGAACCCGAGCTTCCTGCAGAAGGCTGGGAGCCACTCAGGATCACCTGCCTGCCAGCCAACCGCAGCCAGGGGGCAACACACTGCCCGTCCCAGGCTCTGGGTAGCAAGAGGCCCCATGAGAAATCAGAGACCCGGCCTTGCCCTGTAAGTAGAAGTGAAATCAAAAGCACACCACTCATCTAGGTATAGATATCACAGGTCAGGAAATGACCACCGAAACTCACCTGGAGTCTGTGAAACCTACAGAACCCTCAGGACCCCGGAGAGGCAAATGCAAAACCATACGCTGGGACACCTCGACAGCCTAAGACATACGCAAGGCCACGCCCCACAGCACTGACCAGAACAGACACATCACCGCAAACCAGGAGGGGCAGCAAACACCTGGGGCGCAACCACGCAAACGCCAGGATGCCACAGGTATGGTGATAAATGAGTGCTACAGAGGACTAGAGGAGAAGCATGCTCCAGACCTCTGCTCAGTTCATTACTGCAACTAAACACTACACTCAGTTCTGTACATTCTAGAAGCAGGGCAAAAAGGGGAGGGGCTGGAAGAGGGACATGACGGGTTGTTACAAGAAACCACTGTAATAAAAGGGAAAAATTACTATGTCGAGAAAACCGTGGTTCTTGTCATTAAGTTAGAGGGTTTTATTACAAAGACAAAAGATGATGATCAAACACTTCAGCTTTAGTTTTGCTAGGGAGGAAGGCTTTTGTAGCTTTTATTGTGACCCTAACCACAGCCTTCATGGTGAGGAAAGGAAGGTATTGCTTTGGGAGCCGAGCTTACTGAGTAGATCAAGCTTGTTCAACCCACGGCCCGAGGGCAGCATGTGGCCCAGGGCAGCTTTGAATGTGGCCCAAAGTAAAATTTCTTAAAACATCATGAGATATTTTTGGGATTTTTTTTTTAAGCTCATCAGCTATCATAAGTGTATTTTATGTGTAGCCCAAGACAATTCTTCTTCCAGTGTGGCCCAGGGAAACCAAAAGACTGGACCCTCCTGGAGCAGGGTTTTCACAGGACAGAGGAGAGACAGGCCAGCACTGGTCTCTCAGCTGAGCTCTGTCTCTCTCCATCACCTGTGATCTCACCCAGTCATTTCTCCACACGCAACAACAGTAAAACAGTAAGAATACCAACAAACTAATGATTATAGCAAAAATAACACAATCCATATACACTCTTCCTGCATGCCGAGGCTGACTTCCAGGACAAACATAAAATAAACAGATCAAGTTTTTTAAGCCTTGCGTCCATTATTAGTGCATTACAATCTTACTTTAAAATACTTCCCCCAACAGGCTAAAACCTATGTCCTTCAGAATACATAAACCTTCTTACAAATCGCTAAGACACTTATAAAAGGAGCAAGAGGAAGGGAAATCACGAATACCTGAAGTCGGGGAAGATTCAGCGTTGCCACGGCCACGCACTCTTTCTCCTGGGGCGGGGGCCAGTCCGCGGAGCCATCCATCCCCTCACTCACCTGCCGAAGCAGGAGATCCAGCTGCTCAAAAGTCACTGAGCAAATATCCACCCCAAAAGGGACATGGAGGCCAATGGACCACTCAGAACACGATGACCAAGCAATGCTCTAAGAGGAAACGCAACAATCGGAAATGAATCTCCAAATGCAGCTCTTGGTCTGTCGCACAGGAGTCACCAGCTTGTGTGATGGAGCTGCCTTATATTATTACCTATCATCCCTCTAACTGCCCAGTGGAAAAGCATTCATGGGTGTCTAGCTCACACACTATCAGCTTCCAATTCTCCCACCCATTTCACTAGCCCCATCTCACTTGGCCATACCTAAAAAAGTAAAAACATTTTAAAAAATCTTTTCACTCTCAAAATGATTAATGCACATTAATGGATGGCAGTGAGGCTCTCCATCCACTTGAAGTGGTATAATAGCAACTCTAACTAGAAAATGAATTGTTAGACACATATAACACACACAATACCTTTCATAGTGAGAGAACAAGTAATCGGCAAAAATCTAGGAGAACTGTAGAACACCTTCAATAAACTGGATCTAATTTATAGAACACTTCACCCAACAACAGCAAAATACATATACTTTTTTTTTTTTTTTTTGAGACAGAGTCTCGCTCTGTCGCCCAGGCTAGAGTGCAGTGGCGGGATCTCAGCCCACTGCAAGCTGTGCCTCCTGGGTTCACGCCATTCTCCTACCTCAGCCTCCTGAGTAGCTGGGACTACAGGTGCTCACCACCACGCCTGGCTAATTATTATTATTTTTTTAATTTTTATTTTTAGTGGAGATGGGGTTTCACCATGTCAGCCAGGATGGTCTTGATCTCCTGACCTCGTGATCCACCTGCCTTGGCCTCCCAAAGTGCTGGGATTACAGGCGTGAGCCACCGTGCCCGGCCATACATACACTTTACATATACTTTTTTTAAATTTTATTTTTTTTGAGATGGAGTCTAGCTCTGTCGCCCAGGCTGGAGTGCAGTCGCACGATCTCAGTTCACTGCAAGCTCTGCTTCCCAGGCTCAAGCCAGTCTCCTGCCTCAGCCTCCCAAGTAGCTGGGACTACAGGCGCCCGCCATCATGCCCGGGTAATTTTTTTTGTATTTTTAGTAGAGACGGAGTTTCACCCTGTTAGCCAGGATGGTCTCGATCTCCTGACCTTGTGATCTGCCTGCCTTGGCCTCCCAAAGTGCTGGACCATACATATACTTTTTAAGCACATACAGACCATACATATACTTTTTACACATATATGTATACATATATGTATATACAGACCATACATATACAGACCATACATATACTTTTTAAGCACATACAGAATGTTCACTGAGAACATAACCTGACACATAAATCTTAACAAATTTAAAAGAAATGAAATCATATGCAGTTTGTTCTCCAATCACAATGGTATTAAACTAGAAATCATTAACAAAACAATCTGCAAACACTTCAAAATAAAACAACATACTTAATAATCCATGGGTCAGGCCGGGCGCACTGGCTCACGCGTGTAATCCCAACACTGTGGGAGGCCAAGTTGGGGGGATCACCTGAGGCCAGGAGTTGAAGATCAGCCTGGCCAACATGGAGAAACCCCATCTCTACTGAAAATACAAAACAATTAGCCGGGCATGGTGGCGGGTGCCCGTAGTCCCAGCTAATCAGGAGGCTGAGGCAGGAGAATCGCTTGAACCCAGGAGACAGAGGTTGCAGTGAGCCGAGATCATGTCATTGCACTCCAGCCTGGGCAACAACAGTGAAACTCCGTATTGAAGAAAAATAATAATAATAATAATCATCATCATCATCCATGGGTCAAAGAACAATTCTCAAAAGAAATTAGAAAATATTTTGAACATAAATGAAAATGCACCAAAATTTGTGGGTTTAATTAAAGCACTGCTTAGAGGAAAATTTATAGCATCAAATCATTATATATTACAGAAAAGATAGGTCTAAATCAGCAATCTAAGTTTCCACCTTAAGAAACCAGAAAAAGAGCAAAGTGAACGCAAAACAAGCCAAAGGAACAAATGCCAAGATAAAAGCAGAAACTAATGAGATTGAAAGCAAAAAAAGAAGGGAAAAATTAATGAAACTTAAAGATCATTCTTTGAAAAGATCAACAAAATTGAAAAACTCTAGGAAAACTGACAAAGAAAAAAACAGAAAAGATACAAATTATCAGTATCAGGAATGAATGAAGGGACATCACTGCAGGCCCCACAGACTTCAGACGGTTAGCAAGAGAACACTAAGGAAAACTTGACACTTAAAAATCAGACAACTTAGATGAAATAAAGCAATGTCCGAGTGCCACAAACCAGGAAAATCCTCCTAGAAACAAACAGGTTACCTGAATAGTTCTGTATCTGTTAAATAAATTGAATTTGTAAAAATTTTTTTTTTTTTTTTGAGCCGGAGTCTCACTCTGTCACCCAGGCTGGAGTGCATTGGTGCAATCTCAGCTCTCTGCAATCTCTGCCTCCCAGGTTCAAGTGATTCTCCTGCCTTAGCCTCCTGAGTAGCTGGGATTACAGGCGCACGCCACCAAGCTCGACTAATTTTTTGTATTTTTAGTAGAAACGGGGTTTCACCATGTTAGCCAGGCTGGTCTCAAACTCCTGACCTCAGGTGATCCACCTGCCTCAGCCTCCCAACGTGCTGGGATTATAGGCACGAGCCACCGTGCCCGGCGTAAAATCTTTTAGAAAGAAATCTCCAGGTTCAGATGGATTCAAAAACATTTAAAGAAGAAATAACACTAATTCTACACAATCCCTTAGAGAAAATGGAAAAGGAGGGAACACATGCCAATACTTTGTATAAGGTCAGCTTTCCCCTGACAGAAAGCCAGACAAGATAGTATAATACAAAGAAAGAAAACTGCAAACCAACATCCCTGATGAGCATCAACAGAAAAATCCTCAAAAACGTGTTAGCAAGTCAAATTTAGCAATATAGAAACAGAATAGGGCCGGGCGCAGTGGCTCACGCCTGTAATCATAGGAATATTGGGATGCCAAGGAGGGTGGATCACTTGAGGTCAGGAGTTGGAGACCAGGCTGGCCAACATGGTGAAACCCCATCTCTACTAAAAACAAACAACAAACAAACAAAATTAGCCAGGTGTGGTGGTGCACACCTGTAATCCCAGCTACTCAGGAAGCTGAGGCAGGAGAATTGCTTGAACCCAGGAGGCAGAGGTTGCAGAGAGCTGAGATTGCACTAATGCACTCCAGCCTGGGTGACAGAGTGAAATTCTGTCTCAAAAAAAAAAAAAAAAAAAAGAAAGAGAGTAGTAAATCGTGGCCAAGTGATGCCTATCCCAGTAACACAAGGCTTGGTCAGTATTTAAAAATCAGGCTGGTATAGTGTCTCACACCTGTAATCCCAGCACTTTGGGAGCTCACTGCAACCTCAAACTCTTAAGCTCAAGCAATCCTCCTGCCTCAGCCTCCTGAGTAGCTGAGACTACAGGTGCACACCAGCATGCCACGCTAATTTTTAATTTTTTTGTAGAGATGGGATCTCGCTGTGTTGCCCAAGCTGGTCTCTAACTCCTGGGCTCAAGTGACCCTCTCGCCTATGCCTCCCGAAGTGCTGGTGTGAGCTGTTGCACCCAGCCAAAATACGGCAGATTTGTAGTACCCCAGAAGGCTCCTTCCTGACCTACACTTTCCCACAAAGGAAACTACTCTTCTGACTTCAATCATCGTCAGTTCTGCCTTCCTGCGCTTCATCTAGGTGGGCTGGTACTGTGCACTGTCTCTCATACCTGGCTCCCTCTATTCACCCATGTCGTTGAGTGTTCCTACCACTTCATTTTTCTTTTTTGGCTGTGTAGTATTCCATGATGTGACTGTATCACCATTTATTCACTCTCCTGTTGATGGACATTTAGGTTGTTTTCATTTGGGGCTCTTATGAATAAAAATGGCAGTGAACATTCTTATATAAGTCTTTTTGTGGACATATGCACTCGTTTCTCTTGTGTACATGCTTAGGATGGAATTTCTGAAGGTAGGCATAGATATAGCTTTAGTAGAAGCTGCCAAACAGGTTTCCAATGTGCTTATACAATTTTATGCTACTGCCAGCTTGACAGTTCTTGTAGCTCTACATCTTTACCAATACTCTGTATAACACAGCATTTAACTTTAAATAGAGATAAAACGATGGTAAGATCCAAAGAAGTGTGCATGTTCCTGAAGAACATCCCGTAAAGGGCCTATTTTATTCATCTGTTTCGGGCACTGAAAACCACTGCATGGCTGGATGAGGAAGGAGGCCTGGTACAACTCCCAAGAAGGCATGTGTCCCTCGGGTGGGCTTTGTTTCCCAGAAACTCTGGGGAAGGGGTGGAGAGGCACCTTCTGGGCCAGCTGGTCTCCTCTGGCTTTTCTTGTACCCTAGGGCTCCCTCCAAAGAGACAGAGAACAGCCTGGCCGGGGAGCAGTATCTCCTACTGCGCTTGCTGTGAGCCAGCCACTCTGCCTTCTTTCAGGAATTACAAAATCCACAGGTCCCCGGCATTCTTATTTATGTATTTATTCATTTATGAGGCATGGTTTTCCTCAGCTCTGTTGGATGGGTCTCTGTGAAGGGAGCTTGGTGGGGGCGAGTGGCCCCTCCCTGGAGGAGGCAGGCCCCTGGTCAGGATCTTTGGGGCTCCAGGTCTCATAAGTGGGGGGCCAGGCTCCCTAGAGAAACCCTTCTTGGCTAGGGCTGGGGAGCCCACCAGAGTGACCCAATCAGTTCTCAGGGCCTGTGATGGGGCCAAGTGGTTTTGAGAAGCCAGTGTTCAGCTCCATCCTAAAGAGCACTCATGCACGTTGAGGAGGAGGGCCGGGGTGCACAGCTCTGACCTGAGTCAGACCCACCTCAGGACTTAGCCCAGCAGGAGGCCCAGAGTCACTGACCATAAAACGAGCAGATGCCTCCCCCGTGCTGATGGAGATGAGTCTTGGGCATCAACTCTAATAATTTCTAACTGCACCCAGAAATACTGATTCACACAGCAACTAGTGAATAATAGCCTTTTAGAGCTAAAAAAGCCTCATATATTATAAATTAACATATGCATTTTACACAAACTAGAGGCACCGTGGTGGGCCAGCAGCAGCCTGTTCAGGGGCCACAACAAGGGAGATTGGATTTCCTTAAGTGCAATGGGAGTTACTGGCAAGGCTTTAAGGTTTTAGCCACAGGAAAGATGAAAGTATTTTAGAGCAATGTGGGTGGATTCAAAGTGAGGTTTTGAACTAGATCAGTTTTTTTTTTTTTTTTTTTTTTAGACAGAGTCTGACTCTTATTGCCCAGGCTGGAGTGCAGTGGTGCTATCTTGGCTCACTGCAACCTCTGCCACCCAGGTTCAAGCAATTCTCCTGCCTCAGCCTCCTGAATAGCTGGGATTACAGGCACCTGCCACCAAGCCCGGCAAATTTTTGTATTTTTACGGGGTTTCACCATCTTGGCCAGGCAGTTCTTGAACTCCTGACCTCGTGATCCACCTGCCTTGGCATCCCAAAGTATTAATTTTTTTTTTTTTTTGAGACGAAGTCTTGCTGTGTCGCCCAGGCTGGAGTGCAGTGGCCCGATGTCGGCTCACTGCAAGCTCCGCCTCCCAGGTTCACGCCAGTCTCCTGACTCAGCCTCCCGAGTAGCTGGGACTACAGGCGCCCGCCACGATGCCCAGCTAATTTTTTGTATTTTTTTTTAGTAGAGATGGGGTTTCACCGTGTTAGCCAGGGTGGTCTCAATCTCCTGACTTCCTGATCTGTCCGCCTTGGCCTCCCAAAGTGCTGGGATTACAGGGGTAAGCCACCACGCCCCTCCAAGTATTAAATTTTTTATTTAAAAAATCTCCCCTCTCCAAAGATCTCCCAGCATTTCTGCAGAGGTCTCTACCTAGGTAAGGAGAAGAAACTATTCTTGGCCGGGTACAGTGGCTCACGCCTGTAATACCAGCACTTTGGAAAGCCAAGGTTGGAGGATTCCTTGATCCCAGAAGTTCGAGACCAGCCTGGCCAACATGGTGAAACCCCATCTTTACCAAAAATACAAAAATTAGGTGGGTGTGGTGGAGTGTGCCTGTAGTCCCAGCTACTCAGGAGGCTGAGGTAGAAGGATCGCTTGGGCCTGGGAGGTCAAGGCTGCAGTGAACCAAGGTGGTGCCACTGCACTCCAGCCTGGGTAACAGAGTGAGATCCTGTCTCAAAAAAAAAAAAATTATCTGTGAGGGTGAAATTTAAATACCTTTGTGCATAGCTATCAGTTATTCTTTGTTTTAATATTTAGTTTATTGTGAAATATAACACATATAGAAACATACATAAAACAACACACAGGGCCAGGCCCGGTGGGTCACGCCTTGTAATCCCAGCACTTTGGGAGGCCGAGGCGGGCGGATTACTTGAGGTGAGGAGTTTGAGACCAGCCTGGCCAACATGGTGAAACCCCATCTCTACTAAAAATACAAAAATTAGTCGGATGTGGTGGTGCATGCCTGTAATCCCAGCTACTTGGGAGGCTGAGGCAGGAGAATCGCTTGAACCTGGGAGGCAGAAGTTACAGTGAACCAAGATCGCGCTACTGCACTCCAGCCTGGGCAACGGAGTCAGACTGTGTCTAAAAAAAAAGAAAAAAAATATAGGCCGGGTGTGGTGGCTCACGCCTGTAATCCCAGCACTTTGGGAGGCCGAGGCGGGCAGATCCCTTGAGGTCAGGAGTTCGAGACCAGCCTGACCAACATGGAGAAACCCCATCCCTACTAAAAGTACAAAATTAGCCGGGCATGGTGTTGCATGACTGAAATCCCAGCTACTTTGGAGGCTGAGGCAGGAGAATCGCTTGAATCTGGGAGGTAGAGGTTGTTTTGAGCTGAGATCACGCCATTGTACTCCAGCCTGGGCAACAAGAGCGAAACTCCGTCTCAAACAAACAAAAAACAAAACAAAAACAAAAAACACAGTGTAACATGTTATTATAAAGTCACTGCTCAGGGACCAACTTGGCCGGTCCTGTGCCTCTAGAGGGAAGCTCCTTCCCACTGTTCTTTAGAGTTTTATATGTTAAGTACAGGAGTCAACAAACTAGGCCTATGCACCACATCTGGCACCCAGCCTTTATTTATTTTTTGAGATGGCGTCTCACTCTGTCACCCTGGCTGCAGTGTGGCAGCACAATCTCGGCTCACTGCAAACTCCACCTCCCAGATTCAAGCAATTCTCCTGCCTCAGCCTCCTGAGTAGCTGGGATTACAGGTGTGTGCCACCACACCCGGCTAATTTTTATATTTTTGGTAGAGACGGGGTTTCACCATGTTGGTCAGTCTGGTCTCGAACTCCTGACGTCAGGTGATCCGCCTGCGTTGCCCTCTCAAAGTGCTGGGATTACAGGCATGAGGCATGATGCCTGACCCAGCCTTTTTTAAAATGAAGGTTTCGGCTGGCGCGGTGGCTCATGTCTGTAGTCCCAGCATTTTGGGAGGCCAAGGCAGGTGGATCACCTGAGGTCAGTAGTTGGAGACCACCCTGGCCAACATGGTGAAACCCCGTCTGTACCAAAATACAAAAATTAGCTGGGCGTGATGGCAGGCACATGTAATGCCAGCTACTCGGGAGCCTGAGGCACGACAATCACTTGAACCCGGGAGGCGGAGGTTGCAGTGAGCCAAGATCACACGATTGCACTCCAGCCTGGGCAACGAGCGAAACTCCATCTCAAAATACAATAATAAAAAAAAGGATGTCCTTTTTTGTCTCTCAACCCCGTTTTTTATTTTTTTTTATTTTCAGACAGGGTCTCGCTCTGTTGCCCAGGGTGGAGTGCAGGGGCCCGATCTTAGCTCACTGCGGCCTCAACTTCCCCAGCTCACATGATCCTCCCACCTCAGCCTCCCAAATAGCTGGGACCACAGGTGGGTACCACCATGCCCGCCTAATTTTTGTATTTTTTGTAGAGATGGGATTATGCCATGTTGCTCAGGCTGATCTCGAACTTCTGGGCTCAAGTGTCTCTCTGCCTCCACCTCCCAAAGTGCTGGGATTGCAGGCCTGAGCTACCATGCCCAGCCCTGCTTTAATTTAAAGTGTATTACATTTGATATTAGTACAGCCCCTTCAGCTCTTTTTTGGTTACTATTTTAATTGTATCTTTGTATCCCTTTACTTTCAATCTGTTTCTGTATTTAAAATGTTTATCTTGTAGATAGCACATTGGTGGATCATATTTTGTTCTTCAATCCTTTCAGCCAGTCTGCTTTTCTTTCTTTCTTTTTGAGACAGAGTTTTCCTTTTGTCACCCAGGCTGGAGCGCTATGGTGCGATCTCAGCTCACTGCAACCTCTGCCTCCTGGGTTCAAGCGATTCTCCAGCCTCAGCCTCCTGAGTAGCTGGGATTACAGGTGCGTGCCACCAGGCCTGACTAATTTTTGTATTTTTAGTAGAGACAGGGGTTTCTTCATGTCGGTCAGGCTGGTCTTGAACTCCTCACCTCAGGTGATCCACCGCCTCAGCCTCCCAAAGTGCAGGCATTACACGCGTAAACCACTGCGCCCGGCCAAAGTGGTGGATTTTTTTTCTCAGAAAATCTATTCCATTCTTTTTCCAGAAACCAAATTTGTACAAGTTAACTAAAATAAATATTTATACTCTAATTTTTTTGTTCTGAGGTCTGAGTTTTTAGAATTTTATCTTTACATGTTTAGAAAAATTAGAAAATATAGATAGAACATAACCAAGAAAATAATAACAACTTTCCTTCTGTTCAAAGTTCATTACTATTAGCCGAGTGCAGTGACTCACACCTGTAATCCTAGCACTTTGGGAGACTGAGGCGGGCGGATCACTTGAGCCCAGGAGTTCGAGACCAGCCTGGGCAACATGGCAAAATCCCGTCTACAAAAACTACAAAAATTAGCCAGGTGTGGTTCCATGTGCCTGCAGTCCCAGCTAGTGGCAAGGCTGAGGTGGAGAACCACCTGAACCCGGTAAGTCAAGGCTGCAGTGGTGCAGCCTCTGTCCCCCAGGCTGGAGTGCAGTGGTGCAATGTCGGCTCACTGCAACCTCCGCCTCCCGGGTTCAAGCGATTCTCCTGCCTCGGCCTCCCGAGTAGCTGGGATTACAGTCACGTGCCACCACACCTGGCTAATCTTTGTATTTTCAGTAGAGAAGGGGTCTCATCATGTTGGCCAGGCTGGTTTTGAACTCCTGACCTCAGATGATCCACCTGCTCTGGCCTCCCAAAGTGCTGGGATTACAGGCCTGAGCCACCACGCCCGGCCGTTATTTTTCTTTCTTAGAGGCAGGATCTCACTCTGTCGCCCAGGCTGGAGTGCAGTGGCACGATCTAAGCTCACTGTAGCATTGATCTCCCAGGCTCAGGCGATTCTCCTGTCTCAGCCTCCCGAGCAGCTGGGATCACAGGTGTGTGCCACCACACCTGGCTAATTGTTAAATTTTTTTATTTTTATTTTTTAGAGATGGGGTCTTGCTATGTTGCCCAGTCTGGCAACATGGGATCCTCCAACTCCTGGCTTCGAGGGATCCTCCCGCTTCGGCCTCCCAAAGCGCTGAGAATTACATACGTGAGCCACCACGCCCGGCCTATATTGTTTTATAGTTCTTCAATTTTGTTTTGTGGTCGCCGGAGGTGTTTCCTTCTTCGATTCCCTGCACAGTGCTTCCACAGCTGCTCCATGGAATCTGCCCAAGACTTTTGCTGCGTTCAGTTGAACACACAGGAGGAAGCTCTTCAGGCCCCAGCCAGCCGACCGCACAAAGATGCGTTCTCATACCCAGGGGAGCTGGTCTCGCCACTCGACCCGCGCCCTGGATAGCTATAGTTAGTGTGAGCGCCACCACCCGCCGCGGCGTGATCAAGAGCGCTCCGGGCCAAGCAGTCTCCCGTGGGAGTGCGGGAGTGCGTGCGTGCGGCGGAAATCCCGCCTTCCGGCGCCCGCTGTTGGCCTTGGCCGCAGCCAGGGCGCTCCAAGTAGGAAGATAAGCGGGATTGCTGGAAGCGGGAGAGTCGGGAGGAGCGGCGAAGGGCTCCTCTTCCCCATTGGCTGCGCCCACGGAGCAGCCTCGTTGCGATTGGCCGTACGCGGGGGGCGGCAGTCCCGCGTCGGCCCGCCCCTCGGGCCGCGAGAGGCGCCGGGATCGCGGGCGCCGGCTGAGCCAGCGGCTCTTGGGAGGCTGCGTCCGCGCGCCGGCGAGGCGAGGCGGCCGGGCCCTGCGCGTCAGGTCCTGGCCTGGGGCACCTGGGCGGCCGGTGGCGGGGGCGGTACGGGCGCGGGGCTGGCGGGCGGCCGAGCCCGGGAGGCGGGCGTGGGCGCGGCGGCCGCACCGGGGCCTGCGCGGACCACCCGCGGGGCAGCCTCGGGCCTCTCTCCATCTCTTAAGTGGTGGTGGCTGTGGGTTTTTCTGCAGGCGATCCTTTTGAGTAATTTGTTTCACGCACGCGCCCTGCTGTGGGGTAAAGCGGCAGATTCATGCTGCTGTCATTTGTCGTTAAAACGATGTGTGTTATGTGTGTGTACTTCTTGGATTTGAGGGCAGGGGGATGACATTGTGACTTGGCTTCCTGTGACCGTCCATTCTCAAGGTCTCGTCAGCGTGGTGCAGAAACTCGGCACACCCTGCCTACCTTGGAAGGAGGCTTTCCCTTCCCCACCTCCCTCTCCCTCCATCTCTTCCCTCTTTCCCTCTCTCCCCTTCTCTCCCCTCCACCAGCTCTTCTCTCCCCCCTTTCTGTTCTCTCTCTCTTTTTTCTTTTGTGCATTGAACCTTTCGGGAGTGTCTTTGTAAACTATTAAAAAGCATTAGGTCTTCAGCGTATGTGTTTACTTGCAGGCCTGAGACCTGGGAGGAAGCTGGAGAAAAGATGCCCTCTGAATCTTTCTGTTTGGCTGCCCAGGCTCGCCTCGACTCCAAATGGTTGAAAACAGATATACAGGTGGGGTTTGACATGTCTTTTTCTTGGTGTGTTTCTGCTTCCATGTTTAAATTTCTCGTGTAAGGCTTTTTTTTAGGGTATGTAAGGGGAAGTCAGTTGTATCTTGCTGAATTAGAGGAGCAGGTTTATTTCCTGTAACTTAAAATGTAACAGTCTTATGGCTGTTTTTGTAGATCGTGCGCGGCTGCCTTTTAATTAGTTTCTTGCAAGTGCACGAAACTTGAGATCTATTAATAGAGAAAATTTTTTTCCTATTTATTATTACTGGTTAAGAAATCTGCCACACTCCTAACCATATCATGGTGACTGTTGTTTGTTACTGATCGTTTTTGAGCTGTTGAGTTAACTGTGGAGGGGAAAATTGGAGAAGTAAGTTGCAGTAATTATGGCCTATAGAAACTCACTCATTTTATGAGGTCTTGTGTTTGTGTTTCTGGAGAGACGAGTTAGTTCAGTTGAGCTGTTTGTTTTGTCTTTGTAACTCCTTATTAAGAGGAGTGCTCAGATTTTCACATCAAGAATATGAGGAAACAATGTTGGCCTTAGATCCTAATTTTTTGATTTAATGAGATAATTGCAAGCTTGTCAGGACATTATTAAATAAATAATAACGGTAATATTTCGATAGACAGTTCTTTACACCCAATCTACTTTTATTTGGAAATGGCTTGGAAAAACTACTTTTGGAACTCCTTATCAGCAGCAAAAAGAAGTGTTTGAAATATTTTGTGTGTGTCTGTATTTTCCTACTCCCTAAGGTTAACCATTTTAAGTATTAAGTAATGTGCCTTGACTGTTCATCAAAAGTCGTGTAGGCTGTTAAGCAGTAGTTGATCATGGATACTTACACTGAAGTGTTATTGCCCCTTCCTAATTTTTTTTTTCTTTTTAAACAGGTATTGAGTGTTGGTGGATATGAGAGTCCAGTGTTTAGAGCTGTGTTGCGTGGCTGGGCGCAGTGGCTCACGCCTGTAATCCCGGCAGTTTGGGAGGCCGAGGCGGGTGGATGCCCTGAGGTCAGGAGTTGGAGACCAGTCTGACCAACATGGTGAAACCCCGTCTCTACTAAAAATACAAAATTAGCCAGACGTGGTGGTGTATGCCTGTAATCCCAGCCACTCGGGAGGCTGAGGCAGGAGAATCGCTTGAACCCGGGAGGTGGAGGTTGCAATGGGTCAAGATTGTGCCGTTGCACTCCAGCCTGGACAATGAGAGCTTTTTTTTCAAAAAAAAAAAAAAAAGCTGTTGTGGATGATGGGATTGTTATTCATAGTGTAATGTTACATAAGACAGAGTACAGAGAATTGGGTCAAGAATTGGTGTAGTTACTCTTTGGGTTTGTTTCTCTTTAAACATTTCCTTTGATTTAGCTATAATGATCTGTTTTGTCATTTTAAGTGGATGGGAGACGTGAGAGATGAGTACTTTCATATTTCTGAAATCCTGAGATTCAGGCAAAGTTTTAATAGTCGTTTTTATATTAGTGTTTATGTATTTTGAGAAACTTTTTGGAGTAAAGGACTTTACGTAATGAAGTTTTTTTCTTAATAATTGTAATTTAATAACTGCTAAACATGAGTTCTAGTGTCTTGATCTAAAACCAGTTTAATGCTGAATTGAGTTCCTATGATGGGTTGGGCAGATAAACATACAGTGAAGCACCATTTATATCTTAGAGGGCCTGTTGTTTTGATTTATTAAGTTTAATACACAGTACTTGGTCCTTGTTACACATTTCCAATATGATTAGAAAGTCTTTTTTTTTTTTTTTTGAGACGCAGTCTTGCTCTGTCGCCCAGGCTGGCGTGCAGTGGCGCAATCTTGGCTCACTGCAACTTCCGCCTCCCGAATGCAAGTGATTCTCCCACCTCAGCCTTCCGAGTAGCTGGGATTACAAGTGTGTGCCACCATGCATGCCCGACTAATTTTTGTATTTTTAGTAGAGATGGGGTTTCACTGTGTTGGCCTGGCTGGTCTCCTGACCTCAAAGCGATCTGCCTGCCTCGGCCTCCCAAATTGCTGGGATTACAGGCGTGAGCCACTGCACCTGGCCAAAAAAAAAAGTCATCTAAATTCCTCCTAGGAGTAAGGGAAACGACTAGGTTTTGGATAGTGTGCACCAGAGGAAAAATGTGTTACAGGTCTAAGTAGCATGAAAAAAGTGATTGCTAAGTTTTGTTTTATGTTCCACCAGCATTGGTTGTTAAACACAAGGAATGAATGGTGGTGTTTTACCGTAAGGAATAAGACATGGTTTCCCTCTTTGGGGAGCTTCCCTGCAGACAGGAATTGCAGATGGAAGCCTTGTGCTCACAGGTTTTACCCTTATCTTGTTGAGGATGGCTCTCCCAGCTGGAGTGGGAAGCGCTTCACTGCTTGAGACTTTTGTATTGGAAACAGAATTGACACCTGGGTAATGAATAATACATGGGATAGGAAGATGTTTCTTAGCCATAGGATTTAACCGATCTGTTTTCCACAGCTGTTTTTGTTTGAAATGCCCTTAAAAGTTTTAGTAACTTTAGAAAGGAAGAGTTTTTGGAGTGTGAAAACTTATAATGCTTGTGTGTTATAGAGAGCACTTATTGACTTCTTTATCATAGACATTATTTGGATACGTCAGGCCTAGGACCCTACATCCAGCAACCTCTAATGCAGGGCTCATTTTATGCCAGGCATATATATCTGGTTATTACATATAAACAGTTTAATTGTTCAACACTTTTTTTTTTTTTTTTTTTTGAGACGGAGTCTCACTCTGTCTCCCAGGCTGGGGTGCATTGGTGCCATCTTGGCTCACTGCAAGCCTCCTGGGTTCATGCCATTCTCCTGCCTCAGCCTCCCGAGTAGCTGGGACTACAGGTGTCCACCACCACGCCTGGCTAATTTTGTGTACTTTTAGTAGAGACAGGGTTCCACCATGTGGGCCAGGCTGGTTTTGAACTCCTGACCTCAAGTGATCCACCCGCCTCGGCCTCCCAAAGTGCTGGGATTACAGGCGTGAGCCACCGCGCCTGGCCTGTTCAACACTCTTTTCTGCTTGATGTGTGGAGTGATTGAATCACCATGTTTTCCTTCACTGCTCTCGTGAAGAGTAATACATTACAGAGGTAAGAGGTGTCAGTCACATCACTTTTTATTTTTACCGTGAAAGTACTTCTAATCTGATGTGATTGGTAGTTTTTTAGCAAACCAAAAAGTCAGTTAAGCAAAGGAATCATAAAAACCAATATATGAGACCTTAAAAGCTTTTTATTCTTAAAACACATGCCTGTTCGCCAGTTTTGTTGTAAGGTAAAGGTGCATGTCTTTGAGCATAGGTCCAGAATGGAGTTATCCTGCCCCTTCTTGCATAAGCTGCACTCAGATGAATTTCCTACAGTTTCTATTTTTGGGTTCTTTTTTAAGTGGCACATGAAACTAGATATGCATGAAGCAATTTTTAAAAAAACTTTTTATTTTGAAATAATAATAGACTCTCAGGAAGTTGTAAAGAAACTAGAGAGGTCATTGTATATTTGCGCATACTGCCCCAGTGGTTACATTTTATGTAACCATAATAGAGTATAAAAACCCAGAAATTGAAGTTGGTACAATGTGTGTGCGTAGTTCTGTGCCATTCTATCAAGTGTCTGTAAATATAACTACTACTACAATTTCCTATGCAGAACTGTTTCATCACCAGAAAGATCTCTCTCCTGCCTCTCTTCTGCCACCATCTCTAACTCCTGCCAACCACTGATCTGTTCTTCATCTCTATAATTTTGTTACTGTGAGATTACCAAGTGATATGTGACCTTCGGAAATGATTTTCTTTACTCAGCATAATGCCCTCAGGTCCGTCAAGGTTTGTTGAGTATATCAGTAGCTAAACTGGGACCATTTATTTGTCTCTTCATCTAATCATCAATTAAAAATGACCACGCATAAATGTAAGCTTTTACAGTTAAACTTATTGTATATAAATAGTCACTTCGGCTGGGCGCGGTGGCTCACGCCTGTAATCACAGCACTTTGGGAGGCCGAGGAGGGCGGATCACTTGAGGTCAGGAGTTCAAAACCAACCTGGCCCCCATGGTGAAACCCTGTCTCTACTAAAAATACAAATGAGCCAGGTGTGGTGGTGTGCGCTTGTAATCCCAGCTACTTGGGAGGTTGAGGCAGGAGAACTGCTTGAACCCAGAAGGTGGAGGTTGCAGTGAGCCGAGATCATGCCATTGCACTCCAGCCTGGCCAACACAGCAAGACTCCTTCTCAAAAAAAAAAAAATGTCACTTCATGCTTAGAAATATCAGTAGATGGCCGGGTGTGGTGGCTTAGCCTGTAATCCTAACAGTTTGGGAGGCTGAGGTCAGGAGATCGAGGTCATCCTGGCGAACATGGTGAAACCCCATCTCTACTAAAAATACAAAAATTAGCTGGGTGTGGTGGCACGTGCCTGTAGTCCCAGCTACTTAGGAGGCTGAGGCAGGAGAATCGCTTGAACCCAGGTGGCGGAGGTTGTAGTGAGCTGAGATCGCGCCACTGCACTACAGCCTGGTGAGAGAGCGAGAATCTGTCTCAAAAAAAATAAAAAAGGGCAGTAGATAAAAAAAGTACAAACATGAGTATCTTGATAAATTCTATTCTCAGGCTTTCAGGTTCATAATCCTGTTGATAGATGACATGTAGAAATAGAAGAATTTGTAAATATAGGAATATTCATTGATGTTTTTAGGACTGGATTCTAAGGGTGGTTTTTACCTCTAATATCCAAATACTGCTGCCTCAAGAGAACAATTTTTGTTTTCAAAATTCCATGATAAAAAAGATGCAGTAACCCTGTATGTGGCATTTTGTCAGGTTAATTAAGAGCATTTTGCAGCAAAAAAAAAAGTTTTTTGTAGAGGCAGGGTCTTGCTTTGTTGTCCAGGCTGGTCTAGAACTTCTGCATTCAAGTGATCCTCCTGCCTTGGCCTCCCAAAGTGCTGTGATTAGATGTGTGAGCCACTGTGCCTGGCCTGGTGTTTTAAAGAACTAACTTTTAACTTTGGTTCTTGGAAAAGACTAGCAATACTTGTTATAAAAAAAAGGAAAAGGGTTTAGCCGTAGGACTTTGATGACAATTCCTTTTTTTTTTTTTTTTTTTTGAGACAGAGTCTCACTCTGTTGCCCAGGTTGGAGTACAGTGGCACTATCTCAGCTCACTGCAACCTCCACCTCCCAGGTTCAAGCCATTCTCGTGCCTCAGCCTCCCAAGTGGCTGGAATTACAAGTGTGCACCACCACACCCAGATAATTTTTTATATTTTTAGTAGAGATGGGGTTTCACCATGTTGCCCAGGCTGGTCTTGAACTCCTGAGCTCAGGCAGTCCACCTGCCTTGGCCTCCCAGAGTGGTGGGATTACAGCAGTGAGCCACTGAGCCCAGCAGATGACAATTCTTTATGAAGAAGAAATTGAGTATCCTGTTTAAGGCACTCAAGAAAAGAAAATGTGAGTAAAGCATTTTTTGTTCCAGCAAAACCGACTTTTCAGATGAAAAACACACAAACTTCTCAGTGAGCTGTAACTTAGGAAGTATTGTTCTCATGAGCCCTTCCTTAGGAATGGAGTGGAGAAAGATCTTTAGACAACTGGATGACTGTAGATCAACCTGCAACTGATGATGGGCATGAAACAGTTATTTGTTAAACCTAGACTGCATGAGTGTTAAGGGAGAGAGCATGGCATAGCCATGTGCTTAGACATTGTAGATTATGGTTGTAACTGTTATGCAGTTCTGTTAATCTCATCCATCCATTTTGTATTTTCATTTCTAGAGATTCCATTTGAGTCCTTTTTATATCTTCTGTTTCACTCCTTATAACATTCATGCTTTCCTTCTATTAGTATAGGGAGAATTTCTGTAAGAGAGCTTTTAATGTCCTTGTCTGTGAATTCTGTAATCTCTGATCACTTCTAGATCCATCTCTGTTGATTGATTCTGTCATTTCTATTGATTGATTGCCCTAGTTATGGGGGCATGGTTGTATGCCTGCTAATTTTTGATTGAATGCTAGGCATTAATTTTATCTTCTGTGCAGGATTTTGTTTTATTTTTTTAAAGAGCCTTAGTTTTCTTCTGCCATACATGTAAGTTACATGGGGTCAGTTTGATCTTTTCAAAGCTTGATTCTGAGGTTTGTTAGGCTGATCCACACAGGCTTTACTCTTGGGCTCATTTATCCATACAACGAAGGCAATACTGTTCTCAGGACTCCACCTGATGCTTGGTGTATGAGAAGATCTTTCTGTCCTTGTTTGTGGAAACACAGGCTTTTCCCAGACTGTGCATCATGGCAGTGCTGCTTATTACTTTCTAGTGCTGCTTTCCCCAGTATTCCATAGTTTTCTTAACCTATGCTCAGAGTAGTACTCAGACAGATACTCAAGGGGCCCCTCCACTCATCTCTGGAGCTTGCTGTATTCTTGTCATTTGGCCTACGTATAGCTGATCTGTCTCCTGAGCTCAGCAAGTTCTTTGGGCTCTATTTGGGTTCCCCTTTCCTGTGCTGCAGCCTGGAAGCTGCTTCTGGGCAGTGTTTCCCTTCTCTCAGGGATCCCAGCTCTGGGCTGTCTGTTGTCCAGTTTTTGGTAACAGCTTTTCGGTATATTCTGTCTGGTTTTCTAGTTGATTATAGCAAGGAAGTGATTTCTACAGAATTCATCCTTTATAGGTGGAGGAAGCACAGGCCTTCCCAATCTGATTTTAATCAAATCCATTGAGTTTTAAATTTTACTATTATATTTTTCTATTCCAGAATTTCCATTTTTTAAACATATCAACTTTATTGAGGTATAATTATATTAAACACATCCCTTTAAAATGTTTAGTTTGAAATGTTTGACAGTTTCTTTAACTGCCACTTTAGGTACTTTTTTCTAGTTTCAACTTCTGTGTTGAAATTGTTAATGTGATCTTTTTTTTTTTTTTTTTTTTTGACAAGGAGTCTCGCTCTGTCGCTCAGGCTGTAGTGCAGTGGCACAATCTCGGCTCACTGCAACCTCCATCTCCTGGGTTCAAGTGATTCTCCTGCCTCAGCCTCCCGAGTAGCTGGGACTGCAGGTGCCCGCCACCACACCTGGCTAATTTTTGTATTTTTAATAGAGACGGGGTTTCACCAGATTGGCCAGGCTGGTCTTGAACTCGTGACCTCGTGATCCGCCTGCCTTGGCCTCCCAAAGTGCTGGGATTACAAGCATGAACCGTGCCCGGCTGTTAATAGGATCTTTTAATTGCTTGACTCTATTAAAGGTAGTTATTTTAAAAGTGTGTTTATAAACCTTGTCCGACCCCATAGATTCCTTAGCCGCCTCTCTCTGTCCCTCTTGGCTGACTCATGCCTGTGAGCCGCCCTTCGGCTCCAGTCTCCGCTGTGATGTCACGCAAGAGAGTTGGAGTATGGCTTCCTGACTGCCTACCAAGGAGCCAGTGACACAGCCTGGAAGGTGTGGCGAGTGTGTGTGGGTGTGAATTCCTTGTGGTATGAACGTTCACCACTTTACAAGGAGAGATGAGGGAACTCAGTGTTTTTATTCCTCCCTTTTTTCTTTCCTCTTTGGACTATTTTATGGTGTAGTTTCTTCTTGCAAACCTTCTGGAAAAGCCACATATGCCTAGTGAATGTGCTGGCTGAACAGTTGGTTGTATTTGCAGCTCATTGAGAAGAGGTGGCACTAACATAGGGGTCAGCACATTTTTTCTGTAAAGCACCAGATAGTAAATGTTTATGTGGGCCGTACGTGCTCTTTTAGAACAGCTCACCTTGGCCATTGTCCTGCGAGAAGCTGCCAAACATGTGTATGGCTATATTCCAGGAAAACTTTGTGGATACCAGAATTTGAATGTCATATAATTTTCATTTGTTGACATATGATTTTTTTTTTTTTTTTTTTTCTGAGAGGGAGTCTTGCTCTGTTGCCCAGGCTGGAGTGCAGTGGCGCGATCTTGGCTCACTGCAACCTCCACCTCCTGGGTTTAAGCAATTGTTCTGCCTCAGACTCTGGAGTAGCTGGGATTACAGGCGTGTACCATCATGCCTCACTAATTTTTTTTTTTGTATTTTTAGTAGAGATGGGGTTTCATCATGTTGGCCAGGCTGGTCGTGAACTCCTTACCTCGTGATCCGCCCGCCTTGGCCTCCCAAAGTCTGAGATGACAGGTGTGAGCCACCGTGCTTGGCTGACATATGATTCTTTTGATTATGTTGCAACCATTGAAAAATATAAAATCACTCTTTTTTAATATATATTTTTCTTTTTTTAGGAAATTAAAGGAAATAAGAATGGCTCCTACATAGGCAGAGTAGGCTAAAATCACACTTAGCTGACTGTGAAGTCATATACTGCATATCGTTACTTCATTGATCTCCTTGTCTCACTTTCCCACTTCCCTCACCCCATTGCCCCGAGCTGACATCTGCTGAGCAGAGTGTCAACACTTCAGTTCATTCCTCAGGCTCTTCTTTCACGACAGAAGTCTTTATATTTCTGTTTTCAGGATCTACTCGGTCTGTTCTAATGACTTCTATTTTTTTTTCATTTTTCAATGATGTGGTCTTGTATCTTTGTCATTATTATATTTGCTTGACTTTCAGATATTGTATATGCAATATTGTAGCAATAAATCGAGGCTCTAGGTAACAATATCTTCCTCCAGAGAGGATGTTCTAGGCAATCCCAGGTCACTGCAGTCCCTTTGGAAATTGAGAGAATGCAAAACTGGGCTGGTTTTCCGTGAAGGCTGGTCTACTTCTAACTCACCTGTATTTCTGGTGTGTGGCCCTTTGAGGTTCCAGCTCAGAGCATGGGATCTGCCAGGCCTCTTTCTCCTGTATGAGGGCCCTGGGAGTCTCTCAGAAGCTCCGTTTTGCTTCTCAGTCTCATCCCTGCGTGCTTAGGTTCTCTGGGCCTCTTTCTTCCTCTCGTGGGTCTTAGACTTTAGGAAGACCTCACTCCCTTGCTGCTTCTAGGATGTCTTCAAATCGACGTACTTAATGTTCCTGTCTGACCTTTCTAATTGTTCTAGGAACCTGTTCTTAACATTTTTTCATATGTTGTCCTACGTTCAGTAGGTGTTTAGTATTTTTCTGTAGGTTTAAGAAAAAAAGCCGTATACCTTTACTCATCTGCAAATATTTGAAGATTACTTTTCTGTCAAATTGTAAGGACATGAAAAAGAAACATTTTCTAACCTATACATTAATCAGATATTCATTTGTTATATTATTCAGTTTTGGATTTTATTGCCTGACTCTATAGTTCTGAAGTCACTTTAATAAATGCCTTAACGGGCTGGGTGCGGTGGCTCCCGCCTGTAATCCCAGGCCGAGGCGGGTGGATCACAAGGTCAGGAGATCGAGACCATCCAGGCTAACACGGTGAAACCCTGTCTCTACTAAAAATACACAAAAAATTAGCCGGGCGTGGTGGCGTGCGCCTGTAGTCCCAGCTACTTGGGAGGCTGAGGCAGGAGAATGGCATGAACCCGGGGAGCCAAGATGGCGCCACTGCACTCCAGCCTGGGCGACAGAGCAAGACTCTGTCTTAAAAAAAAAAAAAAAAAAAAAATGCCTTAACTGTTTGCTTGCCTAGTCCTGATTGGTATTAAAATATTGGTGGCCTATGTATGGGAGCGTGAAGGCTTGCCCTGGCTGCCGTGCTGCAGGTGTGGGTGCATGTTATGGTGTTGGTGGGAAGCGAATAAGCCTTGGAGTTGGGCCTCTTCCCAAATCCCGCCTCTCACAGCCTCAGTGTTGTGTGGCCTTTGGTCAAGTCATTGGCCTTCTGAGCTTCAGTTTAGTAACTTACAAAAAGTGAGCCTGTTACTGCCTCTTTTGCTGGGGTCTTTTGACGATGAAAGTGCCTTTACTTGCCATGTCATTTCAGAGGTGTAAGATAGGAATGTGAGATTGGAAAAGATTGGAAAAGAGTTCTTAGCCCAAATAACCTAATTAGAAGCTTCTGGGATCTGAACCAAAAAAGTCAAAAGTTGAAAAGCTACTGGGCACGTTTAGGTAAGTCAGCTACTAATAAAAAGCTAATTGGAGACAGTTGTAGAAATAAATACTCTCACTTTACAAATGGAAAGTCCCATTCATTTTTTTCTTTTTCTTTCTTTTTTTTTTTTTTTAAATGAATAGGGTCTCTGTCACCCAGGTTGGAATGCTGTGGTGTGATCAGAGCTTACTGTAACCTCAAACTCCTGGGTGCAGGTGACCGTCCTGCTGTAGCCTCCTGAGTAGCTGGGATTACAGGCACGTGCCATGCACTTGGGTAATTTTTACATTTCTGTAGAGACACGGTCTTACCATGTTGCCCAGGCTGATCTTGAACTCTTGGCCTCAAGCAGTTCTTCTGTCTTGGCCTCCCAAAGCTCTGGGATTACGGCGTGGGCCACCACGCCCTGCCTGTAGTCTCCATTCTTCTCAGTGCCACGGCTGTCTTCCAGTTGTTCCCAGGCTGCTGCTTCCTCAGTCAGGATCCTGTACTGTCTGTGATCTGGAGAGCTCTTCTCCTGGGCTTCACTTTTGCTTGTTCACAGTCTAACTCTCTGGAGACCTCCTCCAGTGAGGCTTGCTTTATTGCCTTAGTAATGTTCCACCTTTAAGGTGCCCAAATTGTTTTTTGAATGGTGCTTACCATTTATTTGGGTCATCAGTTCCTAGGAGGCTTCCACAGTGCATGTCCTTCCAGGAGTCCAGTGTCTACCTTCCAAAAAAGAATTCCTTGTTACTCAGAAGGACAAGGTCTGGCCTATCCTCTTCCTTCCCAGTGCTACCCAGGTAATAATCGAAAGGTGGTGGTAATTATTCTTGTTTCCATGTAAACTGGGCTTCCTCCTTGGCTTAGTCTTTAAATGTTCCATCTTTTGGCTTTTTTTTTTTAAATGGTACCTCTGTAACACTAATGTTTCTCAATCTAGGCTGTACCGCAGAACACTGATGTGTGGAGCCCAGCCAGTCTGGGGCGATCTTAGAGTGCTTTCAGGGCTGGGCAGGGGTCTCCCCTCTCTGCTTGGGTGTTGGCATCTTCTCCAGGACACCACCTACAGTCCATTTGTTGACTACTCCCAGATTTGAGTCTCTAGCCCTGAACACTCTGCTAAGATCTGGATCTATATTTACTGAGGGTTGGTGGAGTGGGGAGGAGCTCCATGTTTATGTTCAGTAGTTAGTGCAAATCTTAGTGGTTAAAACGGAACTAATTCTCATTCCTCTTCTGTTCCCTCCCTTATTTTCCCTTTCACATTTGATTTAACTTACGTGATTTGAAATAGTTTCTTTTTTTGTTTTTTAAGTCAGGGTCTCACTCTGTTGCCCAGGCTGGAATGCAGTGGCACCGTCACGGCTCACTGCAGCCTTAACCTCCCCGGGCTCAGGTGATCCTCCCACCTCAGCTCCCTGAGTAGTGGGACTACAGGTGCGTACCACCACGCCTGGTTAATTTTTGTATTTTTTGTAGAGACCGGGTTTCACCGTGTTGCTCTGGCTGGTCTCGAACTCCTGGGCTCAAGCAGTCTGCCCACCTCGGCCTCCCAGACTGCTGGGATTACAAATGTGAGCCACCGTGCCCTGCCTGAAATAATCTTAAAGACTGTACTTCCCTGTGTTGACTTCTGCTGTCATCCTTTCTTTTTTGGACCCTTGGTAATAGCCTTTTTTTTTTTTTTTTTTTTTTGAGATGCAGTCCCACTCTGTCACCCAGGCTGGTGTGCAGTGGTGCGATCTCCACTCACTGCAACGTCCGCCTCCCAGGTTCAAGCAATTCCCTTGCCTCAGCCTCCCGAGTAGCTGGGACTATAGGCGCGTGCCACCACATCTGGCTAATTTTTTGTATTTTTAGTAGAGATGAGTTTTCGCTGTGTTAGCCAGGATGGTCTTTATCTCCTGACTTCATGATCCACCCGCTTTGGCCTCCCAAAGTGCTGGGATTACAGGCGTCAGCCACCGTGCGTGGCCAGTAATAGCTTCTTAGTTCACCTTCTCTGTTTCTGTTTTCTGAAACACTTTAAGACACGGGTCAAATGTCGTATTCCCTTGAGTGCCTAAAGATAGTCTGAAACTCCTGGAGCACGGCCCACATGGAGCTGTGAGTTCTGACCACTGTTAGCCTCTTATCATGTGCATTGTGGTAGGGTTTGGACTGAACCCCAGTGCACGTATTCACTGCTCTCCTCTGACTGAAGACTAGAAGAGTCAAAGCTTTCCATTCACTCGTTAAACTTCAGGGGCCCTGAATGTTTTTGGCTCACTTTTTAATTTTATTTTTTATATTATTTTAATTTTTTAAATTTAAATTAAAAATTTTTTTTGACAGGGTCTTGCTCTATTGCCCAGGCTGGAGTACAGTGGAGTGATCTCAACTCACTGCAACCTCTACCTCCTGGTCTCAAGCAGTTCTCCCACCTCAGCCTCCCAAGTAGCTGGGAGTACAGGCGCGCCACCACCTCTGGCTAATTTTTTGTATTTTTGGTAGAAATGCGGTTTTGCCATGTTGTTCAGGCTGGTCTTGTACTCCTGAGCTCAAACAATTCACCTGCCTTGGCCTCCCAAGTGCTGGGATTACAGGTGTGAGCCACCATGCCCAGCTTTCTGGCTAATTTTACAATTTTTTTTGTAGAGACAGGGTCTTGCTATGTTGCTTAGATTGGTTTTGAACTCCTGGGCACAAGTGATTCTCTTGCCTCAGTCTTCCAAGGTGCTGGGATTAGAGATGTGAGTCACTCTACCTGGCCAGGGCTCACTTTTTAGGAAGGAGTTTACCTCTCCCCCACCAGCTGATATTTTTACCAAAAGTCATATGTTTTGGTTCCAAGTATGTTTATGGCAGTTATCCTGTTAGTGATGTGAACAGAAAAAATAACAGTGCTGAGAGAAAGCTGTTCCTTCTACAAAAACTGAAGGATGCTGGCTTGGTTTCTGTCGCTACAGAACAAGTTACCAAACACAAATTTGGCAGCTTGTAACAACAAGCATTTACACTCTCACAGTTTCTGTGGGTCAGGAGTCTGGCCATAGCTTAGTTCTATCCTCTACTTCAGGTGTCACAGGCTGTAGTCAAGGTGTTGGCTAGGGCACGCTGTCATCTGGAGCTCAGGTCCTCATTGGTAGAATTGAATCCATTGTGGTTGTGGGACTGAAACCCTGGGCTCTTGGAGGCTGCCCCTCCCCACAGGCAGTTCATTGGCTGCTTGCTTCTTCAGATTGGAGACCATCTCTTCAGGACGGTGCGGAGGGATGGAAAAAGGGAGAGGCAAATGGAAATCACAAAAGAGCATAGCGGTTATATCAGACCAAATAGATTTCAAGACCAAAACTATAAAAGGAGACCAAAAAAGTCATTATGTAATGATAAAGGGGCCAATTCAGCAAGAGGCTATAACTATTATAAATATATGTATATATGCACTCAACACTAGAGCACCCAGATACATAAAACAAATATTACAGCTAAAGAGAGAGAAAGGCGTTAATACATTAATAGATGGAGGCTTCAACACTCCACTTCAGCATTGGACAGATCAGATCATCCAGACAAAATTAACGAAGAAACATCAAACTTAATCTGCACTGTAGACCAAATGGATTTAATAGATATTTCTAGAACATTTCATCTGATGGCTGCAGAATTTACATTGTTCTCTTTAGCACATGGATCGTCCTCAAGGTTAGACCATATGTTAGGCCACAAAATAAGTCATTAAAAATTGAAACCTTGATACTAAAAGCAGACAAAGACACGTCAAAGAAAGAATACTACAGGCCAATGTCTCTGATGAATATTGATGCAAATATCCTCAACAAAATACTAGCAAACCAAATTCAGCAATACGTTAGAAAGATCGTTCATTGTGATGAAGTGGGGTTTATCCCTGGGGTACAAGGATGGTTCAACATATGCAAATCAATCGATGTGACACATCATGTCAACAGAAGGATAAAAACCATGTGATTATTTCAGTCGATGCTGAAAAGGCATTTGATAAAATTCAACATCCTTTCATGATAAAATCTCTTAAAACTGATTATGGAAGAAACATACCTCAACATAATAAAAGCCGTATATGACAGACCCACAGCTAGTATCATACTGAATGGTGAAAAACTGAAAGTCTTTCCTCTAAGATCTGGAACATGACAAGGATGCTCAGTGTGGCCACCGTTATTCAACATAGTACTGGAAGTTCTTGCTAGAGCAATCAGACAAGAGAAAGAAATAAAAGGCCTCCACATTGGAAAGGAAGAAGTCAAATTATCCTTGTTTGCAGATGATATGATCTTATATGTGGAAAAACCTAAAGACTCCACAAGAAAATGATTAGAGCTGATAAATTCAGTACAGTTGCAGTATACGAAATCAACATACAAAAATCAGTAGCATTTCTGTGTGCCAACAGTAAACAATATGAAAAAAATTAGAAAACTAATCCCATTTATAGTAGCCACACATGAAATTAAGTACCTGGGAAGTAACCAAAGAAGATAATTACAAAGATCTCTGTAATGAAAACTCTAAAACCCTGATGAAAGACATTAAAGAGGACACAAAAGATGGAAAAATATTTCATCTTCATGGATCGGAAGAATCAATATTGTTAAAATGTCCATACTACCCAAAGCAATCTACCGATTGAGTGCAATCCCTAGCAAAATACCAATGACATTTTTCACAGAAACAGAAAAAAAAAAAATCCTAAAATTCATGTTGAACCACAAAAGACCCAGAATAGCCGAAGCTCTCATAATTGAAAAGAAACAAACTGGAGGAATCAGATTACCTGACTTCAAATTATACTACAGAGCTATAGTAACCAAAACAGCATAGTACTAGCATAAAACAGACACAGACCAACGGAACAGAATAGAGAATCCAGAAACAAATCCGCACATCTACGGTGAACTCATTTTCGACAAAGGTACCAAGAACAAACACTGGGGAAAAGACAATCTCTTCAATAAATGGTGTTGGGAAAACTTGATATTCATATGCAGAAGAATGAAGCTAGATTCCTCTTTTGCCATATAAAAGTTAAAAAAATTATGTTAAGTATCTTCTCTGATCACAATGGACTATAACTAAAAATCAATAACGAGGAATTTTGGAAACTCCACCAACACATGGGAATTAAACAATATGCTCCTGAATGACCAACAGGTCAGTGAAGAAATTAAGAATGAAATTAAACAATTTCTTGAAGCAAATGGCAATGGCAGCACAGCATACGAAACCTGTGGGATATAGTGAAAGCAATACTAAGAGGAAAATCAAAAAAGTAGAAAAACTTCAAATAAATAACCTAATGATACATCTTAAAGAACTAGAAATGAAGGAGCTAACCAAACCCATAATTTTAAGGACAGAAATAATAAAAATTAGAGCAGAAATAAAATGGAGTTGAAATGAAGAAAATAATACAAAAGATCAATGAAATGAAAAGTTGGTTTTTCTAAAAGATAAATTGACAAGCTTTCAGGCAGGCTAAGAGAAAAAGAAGACCCAAATCAGAGGTGAAAAAGTAGGCATTACAACTGATATTGCAGAAATTCAAAGGATCATTAGAGACTATGAACAGCTATATGTCAATAAATTGGGAAACATGGAAGAAATAGATAAGTTTGCAGGCTGGGCGTGGTGGCTCATACCTGTAATCCCAGCACCTTGGGAGGCTGAGGCGGGTGGATCGCTTGAGGTCAGGAGTTTGAGACCAGTCTGGCCAACATGGTGAAACTCCATCTCTACTAAAAATACAAAAATTAACCAGGTGTGGTTTTGCGTGCCTGTAATTCCAGCCACTTGGAAGGCTGAGGCACGAGAGTCACTTGAGCCCTGGGAGGGGGAGGTTGCAGTGTGCTGAGATCATGTTACTGCACTCCACCCTGGGTGAAAGAGTGAGACTGTGTCTTCAAAAAAAGAAGGAAAAAGAAATGGATAATTTCACAGGCACATACAGCCTTCCAAGTTTGAACCATGAAGAAATCCAGAACCTGAACATACCAATAACAGGTAATGAGATTGAAACTGTAATAATAAAAAGTCTTCCAGCAAAGAAAAACCCCAGGACCCAGTGACTTCACTGCTGAATTTTACCAAATATTTAAAGAAGAACTATTACCAATCCTAGTGAAACTATTCTGAAAAATAGAGGAGGAGGGAATACTTCCAAACTTACTGTAGAAGGCCAATATTACCCTGATACCAAAACCAGACAAAGACATAATCAAAAAAACAAAACAGGCCAGTATCCCAGATGAACATTGATGCAGAAATACCCAACAAAATACCAGCAAACCGAATTCAACAACACATTAGAAACATCGTTCATCATGACCAAAGTGGGGTTTATCCCAGGGATGCCAGGATGGTTCACCATATCCAAATCAATCAGTTTGATACATCATATCAATAGAATGAAGGATAAAAAACCATATGATCATTTAAATTCATGCTGAAAAGGCATTTGATAAAATTCAACATCCTTTCATGATAAAAACCCCAAAAAACTGGTTATAGAAGGAACACACCTCAATGCAATAAAAGCCATATACAACTGACACACAGCTAGTATCATACTGAAAGGTGAAAAACTGAAAGCCTTTCCTCTAAGATCTGGAACAAGACACGGATGCCCACTGTCACCACTGTTATTCAATATAATAATGGAAGCCCTTGCTAGAGGAGTCAGATAAGAGAGAGAAAGGCCGGGTGCAGTGGCTCACACCTATAATCCCAGCACTTTGGGAGGCTGAGGTGAGTGGATCACTTGAGGTCAGGAGTTTGAAGCCTGGCCAACATGGTGATACCCTATCTCTACTAAAAATATAAAAATTAGCTAGGCGTGGTGGCGGGTGTCTGTTGTCCCAGCTACTCGGGAGGCTGAGGCAGGGAAATCACTTGAACCCCAGAGGTGGAGATTGCAGTGAGCTGAGATTGTGCCGCTATATTCCAGCCTGGGCTATGGAGCAAGACTCCATCTCAGAAAAAAAAAAAAAGAAGAAGAAATAAAGGGCATCTAAATTGGAAATGAAGATGCCAAGTTACTCTTGTTTGCAGATGATTGTTATATTTGGAAAAACCTAAAAACTCCACCAAAAAATGATTAGAACTGATAAATTCAGTAAAATTGCAGGATACTAAATTAACATACAAAAATCAGTAGCATTTCTCTCTCTCTCTTTTTTTTTTTTTTTTTTTTGAGATGGAGTCTCACTCTGTGGCCTAGGCTGGAAAGCAATGGCGCAATCTCGGCTCACTGCAACCTCTGCCTCCTGGGTTCAAACGATCCGCCTGTGTTAGCCGCCTGAGTAGCTGGGATTACAGGCGCCTGCCACCAGGCCTGGCTAATTTTTGTATTTTTAGTAGAGACAGGGTTTCACCACATTGGCCAGGCTGGTCTTGAACTCCTGACCTCAGGTGATCCACCTGCCTCGGCCTCCCAAAGTGCTGGGATTACAGGTATGAGCCACTTTGCCCAGCCAAATCAGTAGCATTTCTATATGTCAACAGTGAACAATATGAAAAATAAATCAAGAAAAATAATTCCATTTATAATAGCTACAAATAAAGTAAAATACGTAGGAATAAACCTAACCCAAGAAGTGAAAAGATCTCTACCACGAAAACTGTAAAACATTGATGCAGAAAATTGAAGAAGACACACAGAAAAGGAAAAGTTACTCTGTGTTCATGGATTGGAAGAATCAATATTAAAATGTCTGTACTACCCAAAGCAATCTACAGGTTCAATGTAATCCCTATCAAAATACCAATGACATTCTTCACAGAAATAGAAAAAAAAATCCTGAAATTTGTATGGAATCACAAGAGACAGAATAGCCAAAGCCATCCTGAGCAAAAAACAAAACTGGAGAAATTGCATTATCTGACTTAAAATTATACTACAGTCACTTCCTGGTCTTTTTTGGCTTAGATCAAGTGCAAAGTTTACTAGAAAGGTATACCAAAACAGCATGGTACTGGTATAAAAACAGACACCTAGACCAATGGAACAGAATAGAGAACCCAGAAACAGATCTATACATCTACAGTGAACTCACCTTTGACAGAGGTGCCCGGAGGATACATGAGGGAAAGGATAGCCTCATTGATAAATGGTGCTGGGAAAATGGGGCACCCATATGCAGAAAAATGAAACTAGACCACTATCTCTCACCATATACGAAAATCACATCAAAATGGAGTAAAGACTTAAACCTAAGACTTCAGACTATGAAAGTGCTAAAAGAAAACATTGGGGAGACTCTCCAGGACATTGCACTGGGTAATGATTTCTTGAGTAATACTTCGTAAACACAGGCAACCAAAGCTAAAATGGACAAGTGGGATCACATTGAGTTAAAAAGCTGCACAGCAAAGGAAACAATCAACAAAATGAAGAGACAACCCACAGAATGGGAGAAAATATTTGCAAACTACCCATCTGACAAAGGATTAATAACCAGAATATATAATTAGCTTAAGCAACTCTATAGGAAAAAAATCTAATAATCCAATAAGAATGGGCAAAAGATTTGAATAGACATTTCTCAAAAGAAGATATACAAATGACAAACAGGCAATACGAACAGGTGCTCAACATGGTTGGTCATCAGAGACATGCAAATCAAAACTATAATGAGATATTATCTCACCCTAATTAAAATGGCTTATATCCAAAAGACAAGAACAAATGCTGGCAAGAATATAGAGAAAAGGGAACCCTTGTGCACTGTTGGTGGGAATGTAAATTAGCACAGCCATTATGGAGATTAGCTTGGAGGTTCCTCAAAAAACTAAAAATAGGACTATCATATGATTCAGCAATCCCACTGGTAGGTATATACCCAGAGGAAAGAATATCAGTATGTTGAAGAAATATGTACACTCTCATGTTTATTGCAGCACTATTCTCAATAGCCAAGATTTGGAAGCAACCTAAGTGTTCCCAGCAGATGAATGGATGAAGAAAATGTGGTATATATACTCAACGGAGTACTATTCAACCATGAAAAAGAATGGGATACTGCCGTTTGCAACAACATGGATAGAACTGGAGGTCGTTATGTTAAGTCAGGAACAGAATGTCATGAGCCAGACCCAGAAAATCGAACTTTGCATGTTCTCACTTATTTGTAGGTGCTAAGCAAATGAAAGTAATTGAACTCATGGAGATAGAGTAGAATGATGGTTATCAGAGACTGGGAAGGATAAAGTGGGGGTGAAGTGCGGATGGTTAATGGGTATAAAAATGGAGTTAGATAGGGCTGGGCACAGTGGCTTACGCCTGTAATCCCAGCTCTTTGGGAGGCCAAGGTAGGTGGATCATGAGGTCAAGAGACCCAGACCATCCTGGCCAACACGGTGAAACCCCATCTCTACCAAAAATACAAAAATTAGCTGGGTGTGGTGGTGTGAGCCTGTAGTCCCAGCTACTCGGGAGGCTGAGGCAGGAGAAACCCTTGAACCCAGAAGGCAAAGGTTGCAGTGAGCTGAGATCGCACAACTGCACTCCAGCTTAGTGCCAGAACGAGATCCGTCTCCAAAAAAAAAAAAAAGTTAGATAGAATATATAACCCATATATATATACATACAACTAGTGTGTATCCACAGAAGTTAAAAAAAAAAAAAAGATGGGCAAACATCTGTCTCTTTTAATTAAAAATGGCTTTTGTTTTGCCAGACAAGGGAGCTTCTGTCACATACGCAGTTTTCAGAATGGATGCCTTCCCCCAGTGTCTGAAATGCTCCCTTTTCCTGTTCTGGGAAGCCTTTTCTGACTCACAAATGTTGACAAGCAAAGGCGTTTTTGATTTTGATGCTCACAGTTATTATAATTATTATAAATTTGGCCAGGAGTCCCTATCGTCTTTGAACAGCTGCTTTTTTTTTTTTTTTTTTTTTTTTTTTGAGATAAAGTCTTGCTCTGTCACCCAGGCTGGAGTGCAGTGGCACAGTCTTGGCCCACTGTAACCTCCGCCTCCTGGGTTCAGGCTATTCTCCTGCCTCAGCCTCCCAAGTAGCTGGGATTATGGGCGCCTGCCACCATGCCCAGCTAATTTTTGTATTTTTAGAAGAGATGGGGTTTCGGCATGTTGGGTAGGCTGGTCTCGAACTCCTGACCTCAAGTGATCTGCCCGCCTCAGCCTCCCAAAATGCTAGGATTATAGGCGTGAGCCACCGCACCTGGCCATGTTTGAGGAAACAGCTTTTTCTTTGAGGAAACAGGCTCATCTTTGTCTGCCCTGGCCCTTGAATCTACTTATTTTCCCAAGAGCCCTAGCGTCTTTTATCGGGAAATGGTTCTGAGAGACCAAAATCTGGGTGCCGCTGTCAGATTGCCTTTGATTCTAGTCCTTTAAAAAACAGAGTAAGCAAATATATTCAAAAATAAAGTTCATAGATTTCCAATTTAAGTTGTTTTTCAAAATTTCTTTGATTTTTTTTCCTCTTTTCCACTGAAAACCTTAATTTTTTTTTTTTTTTTTTTGAGATGGAGTCTCGTTCTGTTTACCCAGGCTGGAGCACAGTGACATAATCTCGGCTCACTGAAACCTCTGCCTCCTGGGTTCATGCTAGTCTTCTGCTTCAGCCTCCCGAGTGACTGGGATTACAGGCATGCACCAGCACACCCGGCTAATTTTTCATATTTTTAGTAGAGATGGGGTTTCACCATGTTGGCCAGGCTGGTCATGAACTCCTGACCTCAAGTGATTTACCTGCCTTGGCCTGCCAAATGCTGGGATTACGGGTGTGAGCCACCATGGCCGGCCTAAAACCTTAATTTCTAAGAACATTTAATACTTTATCATAAACATGTTTTATTGTATTTACACTGCTTTATTGTGCAACATGAAGTAGTTCTAAAATTGTGAGAGTGTTATCAATACCGATAAATATTTTATTTTTCATTATAGTATATTCTATTAATGATATGTAGTTCAAAAGTCCCTTGACATACTTTTCTTTGTATATGCATGGGTTAATTTGCTTGTTGCCAGTTGTAGGTTTTGCTTTTTTATGATTTAATTTTAATTTTTGAGGATGAAAGTCATGTATGTTTCAGAAGTAAAGACATCTAAAGTATACTCACAATGTTGTTGCTTTTTCTGGTCCTGCTGCCTTTGTCCATGTCCCCTCCCCATTTCCCCGTAGGTAGTCATTGGTACTTGCTTTCGGTTTATCTTTTCAGAGCATATGCACGTGTGTGTGTTTGTGTGTGTGTCTTTTTTTTTTTTTTCTTTTTTTTTTTTTTTAACACCGAGTCTCGCTCTTATCAACTCAGGCTGAGTGCTGTGGCGCGATCTTGGCTCACTGCAACCTCTGCCTCCTGGGTTCAAGCAATTCTCTTGCCTCGGCTTCGTGAGTAGCTGGGATTATAGGCGCCCGCCACCACGCCTGGCTAATTTTTTGTATTTTTAGTTGGGACGGCGTTTCACCGTGTTGGCCAGGCTGGTCTCAAATTCCTGATCCCCCGTGATGTGCCCCGCTCGGCCTCCCAAAGTGCTGGGATGACAAGCATGAGCCACCTCGCCCGACCATGTGTCATTTTTCTTGTATGTTACATAAGAGGTAGAATAGTATTTATACTATTATGCACCTTTTCATTTATATTTCTTGGATGACTTTCATGAAATGTAAAATGATTAAGTCACTAATTCAGTAAATCATTGATTTTATTACCGAATGATCGAATACATAAGGGCGATTGAGATTTTTTCCCATATCATTCTTTAAAAATTGCAGTGTGAGTGTGAGCTTATCTCATTTATCATTGCCAGCTTGCATTCACAAGAGATGGGCTCTGTGGTCTGTGGAATGAAATGGTTAAAGATGGAGAAATTGTATACACTGGAACAGAATCAACCCAGAACGGATAGCTCCCTCCTGGAAAAGGTAAGGGCCTTTAACTAGTGTTTTTTATTTGGTAAAGACCATTATAAAATGCATTTTATAGAAATTTTGTAATGTGCTATAGGAACAGGAGCTTTGAGCTTAACTCTTTGAAGTTTTGCTTTTTACTTTGGAGATTGTTGTCTAAAATGGTAGTTAATACAAGCTGCCCGGATTTTATTGTTTTACGTGAATTGAAGGCATTTTTATTGCAAAACCGTCTTGCCGCATTTGTGGTGTTCTTTGGGGGTGTATTAAACACTTATTGGAAGCCTTTGGCCTGCAAGGAAATGCCATTGAACAATCTTATTTAGCGTTGTAGTTTTGCATGCTCAATAGGACTATCATTAGGTTGTTCATAACAGTGGCTGTGTTTCAGAGTCCCCATTGAGGTTTAAAAAAATGGATGCTTGTATACACCCTAAACTTGTTGAATCTGAAAAGATCCTTGGTTGAGAACCACTGTTGAAGTTCGTTGGTCCCCCTGCTTGAGAGTCATCAACGTGGATAAAGCTACCACTTTAGAAAGTATTTATTCTAAGTTGAAATAGCTCAGTTGGGAGAGCATTAGTCTGAAGAAAGTATTTCTTCTTCTTTTTTTTTTTTTTGGGAAGGAGTCTTGCTCTGTCGCTGAGGCTGGAGTGCAGTGGCGCGATCTCAGCTCACTGCAAGCTCCACCTCCTGGGTTCATGCCATTCTCCTGCCTCAGCCTCCCAAGTAGCTGGGACTACAGGTGTCCACCACCACGCCCAGCTAATTTTTTGTATTTTTTAGTAGAGACAGGGTTTCACCGTGTTAGCCAGGATGGTCTCAATCTCCTGACCTCGTGATCCGCCCGCCTCAGCCTCCCAAAGTGCTGGGATTATAGGCGTGAGCCACCGTGCCTGGCAAGTATTTATTCTTCTTTTGTGGAATGAATTGGGATGGTGTCCACTTGAAAATACTTGGGGACCGGGCGCGGTGGATCGTGCCTGTAATTCCAGCACTTTGGGAGGCTGAGGCGGGCAGATCATTTGAGGTTGGGAGTTTGAGACCAGCCTGGCCAACATGGTGAAACCCCGTCTCTACTAAAAAATACAAAAATTAGCCAGGCATAGTGGCGGGCGCCTGTAATCCCAGCTACTTGGGAGGGCACGGCAGGAGAATTGCTTGGAGCCGGGAGGTGGAGGTTGCAGTGAGCAGATATTGTGCTACTGCACTCCAGCCTGGGTGACAGAGTGAGACTCCATCTCAAAAAAAAAAAACAAAAAACACAAAACAAACCATGGGAAAAAGTATTAGTCTCCCTCTTCAGTTTCAGTGTCAAGCAGAGTTACCTGTGTTTTTATTTTAATTTATTTTTTATATTTTTTTGAAAATATTCACACACACACACACACACACACACACACAATAACTGACAGACGTGTACAGTGAGTGGCTGCAGACCCACCTCCATGTCCTGCCACCGTATTTGGCTCCACATCCTGCTGTCTGTCCATCCACCGTTTGTCTCACCTAGCTCCTTAGACACTCATGTATGTAATTGATTCTAGTTCAACTTTGTTTTTGACTTTCAGGTAAAATTTATATATAATGAAATGTATCTATTTTGAGTTTACCATTTCACAAGTTTTGACAAATGTAACCCGTGTAACCCACATCTTTATCATGACTCTTGCTCAGAAAGTTCTCTGGTGTCCTGCCCCTTCTTCCCAGAGGCAATAGCTGGCCTGATGTTTCTCCAGCATTGACAAATTGCGCCTGTTCTAGAACTCCATACATGGAATCATGTAGTCGGGTTCTTCTGTGTCTTGGCTTCTTTCACTCTGTTTAGTGCTTTTGATTTTCATGTTTTTTTTTTTTAAACAACGTAATGGGTTTATATTTAATATAGCACTTCTCATCAGGAGGTGTTACTCAGTTAATATAAAGTTTTTATTAACATTAAATCTCTTTTCCATGTCAATGTCTATAGTGTTTTTTTTTCTTTAACATTAAGTCTTTTCTCCATTTCAGTATTAGATACACTGAACACATTTTTCTAAATGATTTTTTTTCTTTCCAGAGATAAAAGTTTCCCTTTTTGGCTGACTATTGGATATCTGAATTGGGGAGATGACAAAAGTCTAATAAAAATACAGAGAACAGACTCAGTGATTTAGGAGGCAGTGATTACGACTGAACAGTGGCGATTTCCTAGGATTCTGGGCAAAATCCATTTATGTACCAATTTGTTCCCATTTCATGGAATCAACTCAGAAAGTAAAACTCTCCTACTTACTAATTCTTGGAAACTTTCAGACACCAAAGCTTACATTTAGTTTCAGTAGCACAAAGGTTTTCAGGGTGAGGTTTCATTCATTAGGCCCTTCAAAGTCACATCTGTTCATTTTTATCTTTCGTGCGTATACCTGCAAGCAAGTACAAACACCTGTAATACTGAGAACCACACCTTTTAACGAGAGAGCAGTTGCATCACTGGCTTCCACTGCCTTGACAGCAGGCAGCACCAAAAGCAGTGACATAAGGACTAAGGACAATTGTGTTGAAACTGAGGTCATGATGTTGGGATTTTGAGGGCTGAATGTTCCAAGTAAGTGGTATATATAGAATTCTCTCTGACTTGAAATTTTCCCTTTCTGGACCTCTGGATGCTGAGGCTAAGAGTGTCCATATGACAGTGTCTTCCAAGACAGGAATCAGCAACCTTTTTTTGTTTTTCTGTATCAGTAATTCATTCTGTATATTTTAAAAAGTTTTAACCTCTTCTTCCTAGCCCTCCAGTATTTGTTTATAAATTAAAACGTTTCCCAAAGTGTTTTCTGTGAAACAATAGTTCTAAAAGGTGCTCTAAGAAAAGCTAAGTACATGGCAAAATCCAAAGTATATGTTTTATTCATTACATTTGATGAATTTTTTTTGTTTTTTCCTCTCGAGAGGGAGTCTTGTTCTGTCGCTCAGGCTGGGGTGCAGCGGCATGATTTTGGCTCACTGCAACCCCTTCCTCTCGGGTTCAAGCAGTTCTCTGCCTCAGCCTCCTGAGTACTCAGCTAGGATTACAGGCGCCCTCCACCATGCCCAGCTAATTGTTGAATTTTTAGTAAAGACGGAGTTTCACCATCTTGGTCAGGCTGGTCTTGAACTCCTGACCTCATAATCTGCCCACCTCGGCCTCCCAAAGTGCTGGGTTTACAGGTGTGAGCCACCATGCCCAGCCCACATTTGATGAATTTTTTTGTCTTTTGTTCTTTTAAAAATCATGGTTGGAAAGCAGAGCATAATTGTTCTTTATGTAGATCCCAACTGATTGGGATTGTTAGGGAGATGTTTTGGCATTCAGTAAATGTTTTTGTTTTCCATTATTAAGACTATGAATATTTTATTTTATTTTCTGAGACAGGGTCTCAGAATTTGTCAAATTTGTAAAATTTATAGCCAGATGTAGGGTAGGGGTGGCCTACTTTCTGTAAAGGGCCAGATAGTAAATATTTTAAGCTCTCAATGGACCCTATGGTCTCTGTCATAGCCATGGGACCTTGCAGCTGTAGTGCCAGAGTAGCCACAGACAATACTACGTCAGCGGGCTGGGGACGTTCATTCTGTAAACTTTATTTATGGACACGAAAAGATGAAGTCCACAGAATGTTTGCAAGTCACAAAATACTGTTTTTCTTTTGATTATTTTTCAATTATTAAAAACTATAAAATACGGTGGCTGGGCGTGGTGGCTCACACCTGTAATCCCAGCACTTTTGGAGGCCGAGGCAGGCGGATCACCTGAGGTCAGGAGTTCGAGACCAGCCTGGCCAACATGGTGAAACCCCATCTCTACTGAAAACAAAAAATTAGCCGGGCATGGTGATGCACCCCTGTAATCCCAGCTCCTCGGAGGTTGAGGCATGAGAATCACTTGAACCTGGGAGAATCGCTTGAGCCTGGGAGGCAGAGGTTGTGGTGAGCCAAGACTCCATCTCAAAAGAACAACAAAACTAAAATACTTTCTCTGTGTTCAGACCATACACAAAAAGGCTGTGGGCTGGGTTTGTCCTGTGGGCTGTGGTTAGTGACCACACACACACACACACACACACACACACACACACGGCAGAGTCTGGCATTCAGAGCCAGCACCTGTGTTCTCACCTGAGCCGTGTTCCTGGCTGGGTTCTACTCTGTATTCTGTGACTCGAGGTGTCTACCTTGGTAAACTGGAGGCTGTTTTAGTTTGCATTCCCGCTGACAATCTGTCACGTTTCTGTTGCTCTGTGTCTTTGTTAGCACTTGGTGTTATCAGTGATTTTTAGTTGAGCCATTCTAACAAGTCTAGTGGGATCTCATTGTGGTTTTAATTTGCAATTCTGTAATGGCTAACAATGCTGAATATCATGTTCTTTTTTGCCACTCTTGTATCCTCTGTGAGTTTCTGTTCAGATCTTTTGCACAGAAAAAGCTGTATCATGGAACCAGTAAAATAACCAAGGAGAGGTTGATTAAAGTTCTGTTTATAACCCTAGAAGATTCCTGCCCTAGGGATATGGGATGGCTGAACGTAGGACACCGACACTGGACAGATGAAATAGCAGTTTATTAGTCACGCATGCTCACAGCCCTGGGGTGGGGGACACCGCATGCCACACGGGGGCTGCACTTGGGAACAGAGCGAACCACGAGGGGCTGTGGGAGGCACATTTTGTAGTAACAGGAGGGTGAGATGACCTTGCTTCCATGGGAAGATGTGACTGGCTTGTTTGAATAACTCTGGGCCGGCAGGGATGAGCAGGCTGGGGTCGGGTTTCCGCGATAAGGAGGTTGTTTGGCTTTGGGATCTTATCCGTGAGAGCAGAGCTCAGGGGAGACCTTGTGGTTAGGCTATTTGAGGCCTTCTTGATTTTACCAATGTCAAGGCAGCACGTAATATTTAGTCTTAATTTCAGGCCACACGAGAAATTCTTCTGTATCTACTTTCCGTGGCACTTTTCAAAAGGTTTTGTCCTTAGTGTTTAGCAGTTGATTATGATGTGCCTCGTCATGGCTTCCTTTGGATTTATCTTGTGTGGGCTTTGTGCAGATTCTTCAGTCTGCCTGGGTTTATGTCATTTGCTGAACCTAGGAAGTTTTCAGCCATTAGTTCTTTGGATATTTTTTTCAGCATTCACCTTTTCTCTCTTGTTATTAACCTGTGGGGTCTGTGCTAATTCTAGGTAGTTAGTTTCAGAATTGAATTGCACTGTGGGACACAAAGCTGGGTGTCGCAGAGAACTGGAGAATTGCTTGGTGCAAAAGTCCATACATTTGGTGTCAGAAGTGTTGTAAACAGAGGAACTGTTTCCTTCGAGATTTTTAGATAGTCATTATTTGTAATCTGGATGGGATATCATGTCTTTCCCCGATTGAGATACATTTTTCTAATTATGTTGTTAGACATTTAGTCACAGCCTTCTGTGATGGAATGTGTTTACACTTCAAGGTTAAGGTTAGTTCTCTCTTCTCTTCGCTTACTGTGTAAGGAGTTTTATGACAGTTGTTTTTGACTGAAACTTGACATTGTCAGTGGCCTAAAGTGATTTTTCTCAGCTTTTCCTTTGTGTCCCAGTGCTCTTGAATTATGCCAGCAGTGACAGTGCCCCTGCATAGCAGTGCTTCCCAGTTGGCAGTGGAGTAGGGCCTTGTAAAGAGTTAAAAGATTTTTGAATCATACTCTTGTTCTACACCCTCCCTTTTCCCATGGATACACAAGCACTGGGACTCACTGGATAAAAGCAATTGGTGTGAAATTGAAGTAGGTAAATATGAAAGACTTAAGTTTCTCAGTTAAGAAATGTACTAGGAAGTAGATGGAATATCATTTTGGAAGACATCCTTTAAATAATTTGTTGTATTGGTTTCTTTTTTTTTTTTTTTGAGATGGAGTCTCGCTCTGTCACCCAGGCTGGAGTGCAGTGGCATGATCTCAGCACACTGCAAGCTCTGCCTCCCAGGTTCACACCATTCTCCTGCCTCAGCCTCCCGAGTAGCTGGGAATACAGGCGCCTGCCATCATGCTCAGCTAATTTTTTGTATTTTTAGTAGAGACGAGGTTTCACCGTGTTAGCCAGGATGGTGTCGATATCCTGACCTCCTGATCCACCCGCCATGGCTTCCCAAAGTGCTGGGATTACAGGCATGAGCCACCACGCCCGGCCAATATATTGGTTTCTTTATGAAAATTATACTGGATCTGTTACAGGTATGATTGATGTATTTTATTTTTAAGTTGTCAAGCATTCAGTTAATCATGTGTGTTGTAACTTTTCGGGGAGGGACATTTGCAGAGGCTAACGGTATGACATTCTGAAAAGCGGTGACAGATTAAAAAATTTTTAATTCTGCAGATGATAGTGTCGAACCAAGTGGGACAAAGAAAGATCTGAATGACAAAGAGAAAAAAGATGAAGAAGAAACTCCTGCACCTATATATAGGGCCAAGTCAATTCTGGACAGCTGGGTATGGGGCAAGCAACCAGGTGATCTTGCGAATTTTGGCACTTTGGAAAGGTTGATCTGACACTCCCTTTCTAAATAACTTGAATGGATTCTTAGTATTTTTTTGGTAACAATTTTTTAAAAACTAATTAAAAAATTTAAATATTGTGGTAAAATATACATACCATGTAACTTACCGTTTTAACCAGTTTTATGTGTACAGTTCATTGGCATTAAATATATTGACATTGTTGCCCAGCCATCACGCTTGACTAATTAGAGACAGAATCTCACTGTGTTGCCCAGGCCGGTCTTATACTCCTGGCTTCACGGGATCTTCCTGCCTCAGACTCCTGAGTTGCTGAGATTTCAGATGTGAGCCATCGCACCTGGCACTATGTGTAACTTTTTGAGGAAGCAGTAAACTGTTTTCCACAGTGGCTACATTGTTTTACATTCTTGCAGCAGTATACTAAGGTTCCAATTTCTCCACACCCTCACCAACACTTTTTGTTTTCTGATGATAGCCATCCTAATTTGTGTGAGTAGGTACAGCATCTCATTGTTTTGATTTGTATTTCCCTGTTGATTAGTCATGCTGAGCATCTTTTTACATGCTTATTGGCCATTTGTATACATTCACTGGAGAAATGTCTATTCAAATCCTTTGCCCGTTTTTTGTTTTTTTTTTTTTTTGGGGAGATGGAGTTTGGCTCTTGTTGCCCAGGCTGGAGTGCAGTGGTGCAATCTTGGCTCATTGCAACCTCCACCTCCCAGGTTCAAGTGATTCTCCTGCCTCATCCTCCCGAGTAGCTGGGATTACAGGTGTCCGCCACCGTGCCTGGCTAATTTTTTGTATTTTTAGTAGAGACGAAGTTTCACTATGTTAGCCAGGCTGGTCTTGAACTCCTGACTTCAGGTGATCCACCCACCTTGGCCTCCTAAAGTGCTGTATTACAGGTATGAGCCACTGTGCCTGGCCCTTTTGCCCTTTCTTTTTTTTTTTTTTTTTTTTGGAGACAGAGTCTTGTTCTGTCACCCAGGCTGGAGTACAGTGGCATGATCTTGGCTTACTGCAACCTCCACCTTCCGGGTTCACGCCATTCTCCTGCCTCAGCCTCCCGAGTAGCTGGGACTACAGGCGGGCACCACCACACCCAGCTAATTCCATTTTTTAATTGAGTTTTTTGTTTTGGGTTATAGGAGTTCCTTATCATGGATGGACTTTCATAATCTCTTCCCTTTCTCCAACCCAGTAAAACCCATATATTTATTCTTTGCTTACTTTTTTGTGTGTAATTGAATTTTTTAAAATGTCTGATGCATTTTCGTTCCAATTAAAAATATACATCAAATAAATGTTTTCTTATAAAAATGTATCGATTATAAAAGCAGAAATTTCACCTGGCTGCCCACCCCAATTTCAGTTTTCCTCTAAGAGTTAGCCACTATTATCCCTTCAGAGTGGATATTCAGGCTTTTCTTTCCTGGCATGGACATACATATGTAAATGTACATATATAAAAATAATTAGTGACACCATGCATGGTAGCTCACGCCTGTAATCCCAGCACTTTGGGACGCTGAGGTGAGAGAATTGCTTGAGGCCATCAGTTTGAAGCTGCAGTGATCTATGATTGTGCCTCTACACTCCAGCCTGGGTGACAGGGTGAGACCCTGTCTCTTAAAAAAAAATTCGTATTTGGGGTTAGTAGTAGTACCTACCTCATAGGTTATTATGGGATCAGTACAGTAGGCCAGACAAAGTGCGTATGCTATTATTTTGCATGTAGTAAGTACCAGCATATACTACCTGTTATCCAGAAATTTGCTGAAATGTGCCTTGTATTTTCTCTCTTTCGATTTTGATCAGTCTTCCTAGAAGTCATCAGTTTGAGTTTTTTCAAAGAACCAGTTGTTGGTTTTATTGATTTTGTTTGTTTTCTTTTTCATTGATTTCTGCTTTACTCTTTATTATTTCCTTTTTTCTGCTGGCTTTGGGTTCCATTTGTTCTTCTGTCTCTTCTAGTTTCTTAAGGTAAAGGCTTAGATCATTGACTTCAGATTTTTTGTCTTTTCTAACAAGTGTTCAAAACTATAATATAAATTTCCCTCTAAGCATTGTTTAGCCACATTTCACAAATTTGGAAATGTTTATTCATTTTCATCTTCATTCAGTTGAAAATATTTTCTAATTTCCCTTTTAATTTCTTCTTTTACTCACTTATTATTTGGAAATGTGTTATTTCATTTCCAAATATTTGGGGATTTTCAAATATCTCCTGTTAACAATTTCTAAATTAGTTGTAGTCAGAGAACATATTCTGTGATTTCAATGCTGAGGCTTGTCTGAAGCCCCAGAATATGGTGCATTCTGTGGAATGTTTCATGCACATGTAATAAGAATGTGGCTGGGTGCAGTGGCTCCTGCCTGTAATCTCAACACTTTGGGAGGCTGAGGTGGGTGGATTACTTGAGGTCAGGAGTTCGAGACCAGCCTGGCCAACATAGTGAAACCCTGTCTCTACGAAACATACAAAAATTAGCTGGGTGTGGTGGTGGGTGCCTGTAATCTCGATTGCACCCCTGCACTTTAGTCTGGGTGACAAAGCAAGACTACATCTCAAAAAAAAAAAAAAGTGTATTTTGCTGCTCTGTAAAGCTTAGTGAGATCAAGTTGATAGTGTTCAGGTATCCTTGACTTGAAATAGTTTTCTGCCTGCTTGTTCTAGTCACTGTTAGGAGAGGAGTTGAACTAACACACAAGGTTGGCTTACCACATTAGTTTGACATGAATCTCAGAGATGTTACCCGTAGCTGATTACTTAGTAACTTTAAAGATACAAGTAATATCCTCACTTGTGTGCTCAGGCAAAGTGGGGAGAGATGTGGGAGAGTCTGTGCAACCCCCGCAGGTCCATCCTCTTTGAGCCCGGCCTGCGAGATGAGACCTCTCACTGAGGCGTGTGGTCCTCTCACTGAGGTGTGTCGTCATCTCACTGCACAAGGAGCATTAAGGATGTGCAGTGTTCCCGTTTTGTAGTCAGATAGTTTATACACCTTAGGGAACCTTTTCCAGGGAGCCATGTCCCATAAGTCCATGGATTTTAGGTATGTTTACCAAACACAATCCTAAACTAACCACATCTTGCTAAAAACATTTCATAGATAAGGACACTTCTCCTAGCAAATACCAGTCATTTATTTACAGAGAAGCCAGTCTCAGTGTTCTGGGAGATCAGCCCCAGTGACTGGCTTTATTTCCCAGGAGTATCTCCATTGTGCTGGGGAGGCATGAAGAGCAATTTCACTGCTTAGTTCCTCTTTCTTCTGAGGAGAATTGAAATCTCTCATGCTAATTATGGATTATTTTCTTTCAGCTCTGCAGGTTTTGCTTCATGTATTTGAGAATGTTATAGGGTGCATGCACTTTTAGGATTTTTACGCCATATTCATAAATTTGACCCCCTTAATCTCCGGTGACATTCTTTGTTGTGAAGTCACCTTGGTCTGACTACTCTCCTTTCTTCTGATTTGGTGTTTGCGTGGTGTGTTTGCCAGGTTTAGCTTTTTTCACTTTCAAACTTTGTGTATGTGTAAAGTAGATTTCTTTCAGGTATCATTTAATTAGGTCTTGCTTCTTTATTCACCCTGACAACCTCTGTTTTTTATTTGGAATCTTTAGACTACTTGGGTTTAAATCTATCATCTCTGGCGTTTTCAGTTACATCTTTCACTTGTCACTGCCCACTCTCAAATGGTATTACACTGCCTGAGCTGCGGGGCAGTGCTCTGACTGTAGCTTCCTGCTTCTGACATGTTCTTGGTTGGTAGTGTTGCTGTGTCATGTCCAAGTGAAACATGGTATAAACCCCACAATATGATGTTTTTGTTTTTGCTTTAAATAGGCAATTACATTTTTTCCCCTCAAATTTGAAAAGAGAAAAAAAAGTCTTTTTTTTTTTGAGACGGAGTTTTGCTGTTGTTGCCCAGACTGGAGTGTAATGGCACAATCTCAGCTCACTGCAACCTCCGCCACCCAGGTTCAAGCGAGTCTCCTGCCTCAGCCTCCCTAGTAGCTGGGATTACAGACACACACCACCGTGCCTGGCTAACGTTTTTGTATTTTTAGTAGAGACAGGGTTTCACTATGTTTGCCAGGCTCGCCTCGAACTCCTGACCTTAGGTGATCCACGTGCCTCAGCCACCCTTAAGTGCTGGGATTATAGGATTATAGGTGTGAGCCACCACACCTGGCCTCTTTTTTTTTTTTTTTTTGAGGCGGAGTTTTGGTCTTGTTGCCCAGGCTGCCAGGATGGAGTGCAATGGCATGATCTTGGCTCACTGCAGCCTCTGCCTCCTGGGTTCAAACGATTCTGGCTCAGCCTCCCGAGTAGCTGGGATTACAGGCATACGCCACCACACCTGGCTAATTTTGTATTTTTGAGTAGAGACATGGTTTCGTCATGTTGGTCAGGCTGGTTTCGAACTCCTGACCTCAGGTGATCCACCCACCTCGGCCTCCCAAAGAGCCACCATGGCTGGCCAAAAAAAAGTTTTTTATGTTAACTTTCATTTTACCATTATGGGCCCTTAAGGTTTTGTTTCTGTCCCAGCTACCTTGTGTTATCATGTTCCTTCAGTTTGAAGATCTCCCTTTACCATTTCTAGATTTTCTGACAGAGAAGTTTTTCAGTCTGTCTGGGTATCAATTTTGGCTTTATCTCTGACTCTACACAAATCACTTTGTCTCACCTTGGGCCTCTCATGTATAAAATAGGAATAAGTGGCCGGGTGCAGAGGCTCATGCCTGTAATCCCAGCACTTTGGGAGGCTGAGACGGGCGGATCATGAGGTCAGGAGATCGAGACCATCCTGGCTAACGTGGTGAAACCCTGTCTCTACTAAAGATACAAAAAAATTAGCTGGGCGTGGTGGTGGGCACCTGTAGTCCCAGCTACTCGGGAAGCTCAGGCAGGAGAATGGCATGAACCCAGGAGGCGGAGCTTGCAGTGAGCCAAGATTGCACCACCACTCTAGCCTGGGTGACAGGGTGAGACTCCATCTCAAAACAAAAAAAACAAACAAAAAAAAGGAATAAGTATAATATAATGTAAATAATTAAAATTATATATAAAATAAGTGAAAGTACTTACTCAGAGAGTTGCTGTGCAAATGACATGAAATAATGCATTTGAAGCTCTTAAGTCAGTGCCTGGCACAAATGTTTGATAAAGATTTGTTGTGATTTTAAAAATCTGTTATTTTGCCTTTCTCCATGTTTCCCCTCACCTAGGTATCAAAGTACCTACAGTTATGGGTGGGTAACTAGACTAAAAATGTACCTTTCTTGCTCAGATTAAAGCCCGGCTTATTGACTCAGGGCAGCTTTAATCGGTTTATTTGGAAGCTCTGCTTGTTCACAGGTACAGAGCTTTTGCAGAACCGACTCTGTACCTGGCAGCCTTGAAGGGGCTTGGATTCAAAGCATATTCTTGAGCCACGCCATCTTTAATCAAACTGCAGGTGGAATTTGTAGCTGTTAGAATAGCTCCTATTCCTTTCATTTCTTTTTCTGTTTTTTTACTCTTCCATCTCAGCCTAAAAAGAAAAACACGTTAATTTGAGCCATAGGAATTTAGAATTTGTTTTTTCTTTTGCTTAGATATGTTTGACTAAAGCTTCCTTTTTCACAGGTTTATTTTTTCCAACATTTTATTATGAAAAAAATATATACAGAAAAGTTGAAAGAATTTTACAGCGCGCACCCACATATTCACCACCTAAGATTGTGCCGCTGGCATCATCCCACGTGCTTTATCACCGTTCTCTCCACCTTTTCATCCTTCTATTCATCCATCAGTCCCTCACATTTTTTTTGCAATGTTTCCAAGGAGACCTCTGGACACTTGCTTCTCAACATTGCAGCGTGTAGGCCCTCAGCAGGAGTTCAGAAGTGCACATTTCACAGTGAACCTTCTGAGAGTGTTGACAGATCACAGCTTTTCTTTTTGTCTAATGAAAAGGGCTTGCTGGCCATTGGGTGTTGTAATCTCTTAGGAGAGTAAACTCTTAGTAACTATCTAAATCATTCTTAATGATTCTCTCTGCTGTATAAATAGGTCTGGGAGGACCCTTTCTGACATTCTTGTTGGCATAGGTTTTAGCTTAAGGTGTTGTAAATGCTGTTTATCAAGATGATGAAGTTCCCATTTGTTGCTATTTTCTGAGAATTTTTATCATTCACGAGTATTGAATTTTGTCATTTGCTTTTTCTAAATCAATTGATATGTAATTATGTGATTTTTGTTCTTTAGTCTATTAATAGGGTGGGTTACATTGATATTTGACTGTTGAACCAGCTTTGCATTCCTGGAATGAAACTACTTGGCGATGATGTGGAATTCTTTTTATATATTGTTTACTTCTACTTGCTAATAATTCACTGAATATTTTTGTGTCTATATATATATTAAGGTATATTGTTCTGTAGTTTGTACTGTCTTTAGGTACGGTACCTGATATTAGCTTCTTAAAATGCTAATATTAGCTCTAATATTAGCTTCTTAAAATGCTAATATTAGCTCTAATATTAGCTTCTTAAAATGCTAATATTAGCTCTAATATTAGCTTCTTAAAATGCTAATATTAGCTCTAATATTAGCTTCTTAATATGAATTGGGAAGTTTTTCCTTTTCTAGTTTCCAGAAGAGATTGTTTTGAGTCTGTGTTAATTCTTTTTTAATGTTTGATGGAATTATCCAGTGAGTTCATTTGGATCTGGTAATTTCTTTTTTTTTTTTTGGGATTCTTTGAATTATGAATTCAGTTTTCTTGATAGTGGTAGAGCTATTCAAATGATCTATTTTATATTTGGTGAGTTGTGGTAATTTGCATTATTTGAGGAATAAGTCTATTTTGCCCAAGTTGTCAAAGTTATGTGTGTAGAGTTGTTCCTAGTAATTCCTAATTATCTTTTTTCATATCTTTAGAGCCTGTTTCATCACTAATGTTGGGTAATTTATGTCTTTTTTTTTTTTGTCAGTCTTGCTTAGAGAGGTGTGTCAGTTTTATTGATCTTTTCAAAGAACCAGCTTTTTGCTTTACTGTTTATTGTTTTTCTGTTTTCACTTTGTTTCTACTCTTACCTTAATTATTTCTTCCTTTCTGCTTACTTTTGGGTTGATTTTGCTATTTTTAATTTTCTTTTAGGTTGTCAACGTGGGCACTTATATTATTGATTTGTTTCCAAGTTTCTAATGTACCATTCATTTAGTGCTGTAAATTTGTCTCTCGTCACCCACTGTAGCTCTTTCCCATACATTTTGATGTATTGTACTTGCATTTTCTCTCAGTTCACAATATATTTTAAAATTTCCCTTGAGACTTTCTCTTTGATCCATGGGTTATGTAAAAGTTTATTGTTTAGTTTCTGAGAGTTAGGCAATTTTCCTGTAATTGTTCTCTTGTTGACTTCAGATTTGTTCCCATTGTTTGAGGGAACATATGCTGTGTGATTTTAATTTCAAAAAATTTGTTAGGTTTGTTTTATGCCTCAGAATATGTTCTAACTTAGTATTTGTTTTGTGGATACTTGAAAAGATTATGTATTCTGTTATTATTGGCTGGAGTGTTCTATAAATTTTGATTGGCTCTAGTTGATGGATGGTGATGTTGCGTTCTATATCCTGGCAGCTTTTCTGTCTCCTAATTTTATCAGCTGTAGAGAGAGATTTTGAGGTCTCCAACTATAAAAGTATAAATGTCTTTTTCTCCTTTCGGTTCTGTTCATTGTTTTTTTGTTTGTTTGGTGTCTGCACGTTTCGAATTGCTGTGTCTTAATGGTGGATTGACCAAGTTCTCATTTTGTAATGTTGCCGTTGGTTCCTGGTAATTATCTTTTTTTTTTTTTGAGACGGAGTTTCGCTCCTTTTGCCCAGGCAGGAGTGAAGTGGCATGATCTCAGCTCACTGCAACTTCCGACCCTACCAGGTTCAAGTGATTCTCCTGCCTCAGCCTCCTGAGAAGCTGGGATTATAGGCTTCTGCCATCACACCCAGCTAATTTTTGTATTTTTAGTAGAGATGGGGTTTTGCCATATTGGCCAGGCTGGTCTCAAACTCCTGAGATCCACCCACCTTGGCCTCCCAAAGTGCTAGGAGTACAGGCGTGAGCCACTGTGCCCGGCCCTCCTGGTAATTATCTTTGTTCTGAAGTTTACTTTATTTGATATAAATATAGCCAACTCCTGCTGTCCTTTCAGTAATGTTTGCATGATCTTTTTTTTTCTATACTTCTATTTTCAGTTTGCCTGTTTGAAGTCACTTTCTTATGGACAACATATAGTTGGATCATGTTCTCTAGTCTACTCTCCTAGTGTCTTTTAATTGATGTATTTAGATTGTTTACATTTAATTTAATGTCATTGATAAATTGAGGCTTAACACTGCCATTTTGTTTTGCATTTTCTATTTCTTCTGTTTTTCATTTTTTCGGTTTGGTTCTTCCTGGCTCTCTGTGGTTTACTTGACCATTTTTAGCATTCTATTTCATCTGTAGTGTTTTAGAGTGTATCTTTTTGTATAGCTTTTTTAGTGGCTTTTCTAGGTAATATATTACATACAGATTGAGCATCTGTAAACCCAAAATCCAAAATCTGAAATGCCCCAAAATTCGAAACTTTATGGCACTCCAGCATGACGCCCCCAAATTGAAAATTCCATTCATAAGTACTTAGCATGAACTTTGTTTCATGCACAAAATTACTAAGCATGCTATATAAAATTACCTTCAGGCTCTGTGTGTAAGTTATATATAAAACATAAATGAATGTATTTAGACTTGGGTCCTATCCCCAAAATATCTCATTATTTATATGCAGATATTCCTAAATCTGATAAAAATCTGAAATTTGGAACACTTGTGCTCCTGAGCATTTTATAAGGGACACTCAGCCTGTGTATGTATGAACACTTATCAGATTTTACCTGATGTTGTCATTTACCAGCTTCAGGGATATAGAAACTACCTCCTTTGATGTTCCTTTATGTTCTTCTGTTCATAATATACTTGCCTTAAATATTTCATTTACTTACATTGATAACCACATATGACAATGTTATAATTTTTGGTTGAACCTTCAGACATAATTTAGCAAAGTCAAGAGGTGAGGGAAAAGTCTATTGTATTTATGCGTTGGTGTGCTTGTCATCTCCTCCTTCCAGAAGTTCCAGGGTTTTCTTCTTTGATGGTTGCCATTCTGCTTAGAGAACTTCCATTAGCCTTTCTTTTGGTGTGGGTCTTCTGGTGACAAATTCTGTTTCACTTCCTCTGAGAATGTTTTGCTTTCCTTTTCATTCCTGAAGGACATTTTTGCTGGATATAAGAATTCTGGGTTAATGGTTCTTTTCATCGCTTGAAAAATATTTTGTACTTTCAGCTGGGCTCCATGGTTTCTGATGAGAAATTCGCTGTCATTTGACTTGTTAATCCACGATAGTTAAGGCACTGTTTTTGTTTAGTGGCTTTTGAAATGTTTTGTCTTTTGTTTTTTGGAGTTTGATTATTATATGTCTTAGTTTGGATTTCTTTGGGTTCATCCTGTTTAGGGTTTGCTTACCTTAGATCTGTAGATTTATGTCTCTTGCCAAATTTGGGAACTTGTAAGCCATCACTTCATAGAGTACAGTTTCAGCCCCACCTTCTTTCTCCTGTCCCTTCGTGAGTTCAGTGACCGGAGTTGTTATAGTCCCATAGGTCCCCGAGACTGTTTTTTTGTTTGTTTGTTTGTTTTGCGGGTACATTGCTTTCTTTCTCCCTTCCCGTCCCGTCCTATCCCATCCCGTCCTGTCCTATCCCGTCCCATCCCGTCCCTTCCCGTCTTCGGAGTCTCTGCCTGTTTCCCAGGCTGGAGTGCAGTGCACGTTCTCAGCTCACTGCAACTGCCGCCTCCCTAGTTCGAATGATTCTCCTGTCTGAGCCTCTCGAGTAGCTGGGATTATAGGTACCCGCCACCATGCCCAGCTCAGTTTTATATTTTTAATAGAGATGAGGTTTCACCATGTTGGCCAGGGTGGTCTCAAAGTCCTAACCTTGTGATCTGCCTGCCTCGGCCTCCCAAAGTGCTGGGATTACAGGTGTGAGCCACCATGCCCAGCCTATTATTTGGCAGTCTTTAAACTAATGATAATAGGGGTCTTCTGCCTTTAGAAGAATTAGAACTGTGATTTAATTTGCAAATGAAAGTAGGTGTTCTCCAGAGTGGATTAAAATAAAGGTTTTGGTTTTAGATTTCAAGGCCAGCTTGAGATGCTGTGCTGGGTTCCCACAGAGGTGGTTCTGCCTTTCTCCAGGGGTCCTAGGCTTGTAGAGTGGTTTGGTCATGTTAGTAATCTGTGTGGATTCAACTTACCTATGGTATCATAAATGTATACATGCACAGTCAATGTTGTGTACATGTATACAGCAGATTTAGAGATTTATACAGTTTATATGCTGCATAAATATATAGACGTATAGTATAACTGTATCATCAACATTGTCATTTGATGGGTCAAGTGAGTCAATACCAAAATATAAAGCGTGGGTAAAAAACTGTGTTACTTTAGTTTTTCCCACCAGTTCTGAATTTTTGTTTACTTTTCCTTTCTAGCTTTTGTGTGGTCCTCTGAGCCCCAGTGAGAGTTTCCTGAGGTACCTCACCCTTCCACAAGACAACAGGCTTGCCATTGATCTGCAACAAACGGCGGTTGTTGTCATGGCCCATTTAGACCGTCTGGCTACACCCTGTAGATGCCTCCTCTGTGTAGCTCTCCGACGTCTCATAAGGTGTGTGCAAGAACCGTGTTCTCCATGTGTTTTGTAGCTAGTACCACTTGTAGGTTCTCATCCTGGGCCCGTGTGGAGACTTGTTTTTTCTGGTATTGGTAGGGGGAGCTGGCCTGTGGTTTTTAAACGTGTTTGCAGTTGAAGGTGTTATCCGTGTTGAGAGTGAGTGATGAGCAAGCTGAGGCGCACAGGCCTGGCGACCCAACCTGGGGGCCCGGGTTCCAGGTTCAGGTGGCACAGCCCCAGAGAGCTCCCCTTTATCCACAGCCCCAGGCCCTCCCACCTTCTGCAGGGGGTTCCACAGCCTTCTTCATACTCTGAACGCAGGCTGTCTTAGTATGTCATGCTGGTTATAGTAGTGACAGTATAATTATGTATTATATCTCTTATGTAATAGTAATGGTAGTGATTTGCATGTGTGGAGCACCTGTAGGGTGCAGGCCCGCTGAGGACCTCATGCACGCTGTTGTATCTCATTATGTCAATGAGAAAACTGCCTTTGGGAATGGTAGTGAACTTTGCCAGTGCAGAACAGTAATCCTAGTTTTGAATCCAGATTTTTCTAACATTTTATTTCTAGTATAAAGAGTATTTATTTTGTTTTACAGTCATTAAAAAAAAAAATACAGTCACATGGTTCAAAAATCAAACCTAGGCAGAGACACACTGTCGCTTCCCCTGCCCACCCCTTCCACCCATTTTCCCACCTGCTCCCTCTGACTTTCCAGTCTCCTCTGTAACCTCCTTGTTCTCTGGCATGAGTACGTTCGTGGTAGCATGCTTCATTACTTGTGTTGCTTGTTTTTTGTTTTTTTTTTTTAACTAACCATATATACTGGAGTACCTTATCAGAGTGTCCCTCTTTGTTTTTATAAATCAGCTTAGTCTTCAGTGTGTGGATGTGTCTTTTATCTATCTTTCTTTAGTGAGTCTCTTATTGGTGGACACTTGGGCTTATTGCCACAATGTTGCTATACAAATAGTGCTGAGGGTCGGGTGTAGTGGCTCACGCCTGTAATCCCAGCACTTTGGGAGGTCGAGGTGGGTGGATCACCTGAGGTTGGGAGTTTGAGATCAGCCTGGCCAACTTGGAGAAACCCCGTCTCTACTAAAAAATACAAAAATTAGCGGGGCGTGGTGACGGATGCCTGTAATCCCAGCTACTTGGGAGGCTGAGGCAGGAGAATCGCTTGAACCTGGGAGGCAGAGGTTGCAGTGAGCCGAGATCGCGCCACTGCACTCCAGGCTGGGCAACAAGAGTGAAACTCCATCTCAAACAACAACAACAGAAAACACAAATAGTACTGCAAGGCCTGGCCTGGAACACGTGTCCTCCATGTGTGCACGCGTGTGTGCCTGTGCACATGCACAGGTGGGGATGGACCTCGTGTGGGCTGGTTGTCACCAGATTGCTCCTGTACATCTTGATTTCTCTCACCACCAATAGGGATGCTGGTCTCCCAGCCTTGTGTGTGGGCTTTTGGGATTTTGCCTGCTAAAGCACAAAGTGGTGACCCCGATATAGTTTGAGCATTTTAAAATATATTAGTATTTAAGGGCCATTTATACTACTTTTTAATGGGCTCTGTTGAAATGCAATGGAAATGGAAAAATAGCCTGTTCAGTTGCTTCATCATACCTGTTAAATGCAGTAATATGGCATGGTACGAGATGGGGTTTCACTGTGTTAGCCAGGATGGTCTCGATCTCCTGACTTCATGATCTGCCCGCCTCGGCCTCCCAAAGTGCTGGGATTATAGGCATGAGCCACCGCGCCCGGCTGATTGGATTATTTTAAAGCATAACTCTGTCTTTAAAACATTTTAAGGTATTTTACCTCTTAATGATAAGGATTTTAAAAAAACCCTACAATATCATTATCCTGTCTATAAGATTAACAGTGATTCCTTAATCTAACATGCAGTCCATGTTACATTTTCCTGGACTATCTCAAAAATGCCTTTTTTAGGTGGTAATTTTGAATTAAGACCTGAGCATGTTCTGCGTATTGGCATTGCTTGACATATGCTTCTAGTCTCTTTCCCCAAACAACATGGCTCCAGGCCCTCTTCTCCCTGTCTCTGATCATACCGTTTTCTTTTTCAAAGAAGCAGGTTGGTTATTTTGGAGAACTTCACATTTTCTGAACTTGGTTGATTGCATTCTCTTATTCTAGACCAACATGTTCTTCTGTTAGTTACATTAATCTGCTGGTTAGATCTAGAGGTTTGGTTGGATTTGAATTCAGTCTCGTTGGGGCGGTGTTATGTCTGGGGTCATGCTGCATGCTTTCTGTTGGCTCAGGAGGCCTGTAATGCTCGGTGGCTCCCCGCTTTAGTTCTGTGAAGCTAGACCAGGGAATTCATGTGTTGCGTATCCTCTATAAAATCCCCTACCAACCTTGCCCTCTGCTGTCTGGTTAGCAGGAGGTACAATTTGTACAGCAAGGACATAATCTAAGCTTGACTTCTTGAACTGCCACCTCCCTTTAACTATTTTTCATAATATTGAGTTGGTATCCTAGCACTTGCATAGGTGACCACCACTCAGGTTTTCTTTTTTTTGAGTATTTTTATGAACTAACAGACTTTTATTGATTTGGTGTTTCTTTTCTTTTTTAGCTTTTTCCCCCTTTAATGTGTAAATATATACATTTAAAGGCATAAATGCCCTCAAGCATGCATTTAGTTGTATGTCACCAATTTCGATCTGCAGTATTTTGATTATTAACTGAACACATTTTCTAATTTTCATAGTCATTTTTTCTTAGAATTTTGGGTTACTTATAAGTGTATCTTGTAATTTTCAAATATGTGGATGAATATTTTTATTTTCTGTGTATACAGAGTCATTTTTATTTTATTTTGAATGAATTTTTGAAAACCTATTTGTAATTTAACTGCATTGTAGTCAGCACACATGCTCTGTAAGTTTATTTCTTTGAAATCTGTTGAGATTTACTCTATGGCCTGGCATGGCCCGATTTGGTATTCATGCTGCCTAGACTTTTTTTTTAAAGCATTCTATATTTAACAGAATTTGTATGTGTGGTATTAGTTTCAGAGCTAGGTATGTATTTCTCCCATTGTGATTGTGGATTTGTTTATTTCTGCTTGTAGTTCTTTCACACAGTTTGTTCTTTTCATTTTACCTGTTGATTGATCAATGGACTGATTCTGGTTTCTGTATATACAGAGTCATTTTTTACAGGTCAGAACTGTAGAAATAATGAGAAAGTGACACTTGTACGCATAGCTGATTTGGAGAACCATAATAACGATGGAGGCTTCTGGACTGTGATTGACGGGAAAGTGTATGATATAAAGGACTTCCAGACACAGTCGTTAACAGAAAATAGTATTCTTGGTAAGATTACACTTGTTATTTCCTGGTTAAAAGTTACAGCCTGTATCATTTTAAGCAGAGTATTTGGCTTATAAATGATTCCTTTAGTTTTGTGCCAGCCCCCGCATATTTTAATGTATCTGTGGCTTTGGTGTCTGTCTTATCAACAAATTCAGCACATTCGAAGAATTTCCTTTCATTATGTATCTTTTGTTTTAATACTTGGAACTCATTTCAAGTTCCGAGTTGGCCCAGGCAACCCTGGGAGACAGTGGGAGGTCATTATATTCTGGTAACCCTCACTTTTGAGTTAAGAGCCTAACTTATTTCCTACTCACTATTTCTCCTGTAGCTCTTCAGGCAAGCTGAATTGAACTCATGTTGCTTTTTCCCTTTTTGTTTCAGCTCAGTTTGCAGGGGAAGACCCAGTGGTAGCTTTGGAAGCTGCTTTGCAGTTTGAAGACACCCGGGAATCCATGCACGCATTTTGTGTTGGCCAGTATTTGGAGGTGAGGCTGTATGCCTTGAGTGATGCAGAGGATGGCAGGGGATACCCTCTGTGTGTTTGTGATAGGAATATTTGGATCTAGAAGTACTGATATCTGGGTCTTTTGTGGGTTTATGTGGTATCTGCTGTTACTTGGGCACAGCAGCATCAACTCATTACAGGATGGAGGGGCAGAATGCCCAGAGCACCCCTGGGCTCACGTGCGGTTACAGCTGCAGGACAGAGCTGTCCTTTTGGTTTTATGTTTTTAATTAATTCTGTTTCCTCAGATTGATGATGAAATTTATTTTTCCAGCCTGACCAAGAAATCGTCACCATACCAGATCTGGGGAGTCTCTCTTCACCTCTGATAGACACAGAGAGGAATCTGGGCCTGCTTCTCGGATTACACGCTTCCTATTTGGCAATGAGCACACCGCTGTCTCCTGTCGAGATTGAATGTGCCAGTAAGAAAATCTTTGCTTTTTGCTGATCAGCAGATTATTTTTTTTTGAACTGTAAGTGCCATTAAGAGTGGGAGAGGGCCAGGCACAGTGGTTCATGCCTGTAATCCCAGCAGTTTGGGAGGTTGTGGCACGTGGATTGCTTGAGGTCAAGAGTTTGAGACCAGCCTGGGCAACATGGCAAAACCCCATCTCTACAAAAAACACAAAAATTAGCCAGGCATGTTGGCACGTATTTGTAGTCCCAGATACTCAGGAGGCTGAGGTAGGAGGATTGCTTGAGCCTGGGAGGTTGAGGCTGCAGTGAGTCATGATCATACCACTGCACTCCAGCCTGGGTGACAGAGCAAGACTCTCTCTTTAAAAAAGCAGGAGATGGCCAGGCAGTGGCTCATGCCTGTAATCCCAGCACTTTGGGAGGCTGAGGCGGGTGGATCACCTGAGGTCAGGAGTTCAAGACCAGCCTGGCCAATGTGGTGAAACCCCATGTCTACTAAAAATGCAAAAATTAGCTGGGTGTGGTGACGGGTGCCTGTAATCCCAGTTACTCGGGAGGCTGAGGTAGGAGAATTGCTTGAACCCAGGAGACGGAGGTTGCAGTGAGCTGAGATCATGCCACTGCACTCCAGCCTGGGTGACAAGAGCGAGACTCGGTCTCAAAAAAAAAAAAGGAGAGGAGGATTCAACACAGTTGATGATGATAAAAATAATAATAATAAGGATAGTGAGACTCAATCAGGTAGAAACAGCTGTGAGTGGTTGTCATTTGCCCTCATGGTCTGTTGCTGCAGAGGAAGCTAAAAAGTGTGCAGGAATGTCTACCCGTCTGCCCTTGGTGGTCTCACGTATTGCAGCCTCTGCCTGATGGGCCCAGCATGGCTTTTGTCTCCCTGCATGCCCAGAAATTGCACAGAATGTGGATCAGCTGTCCTCTCAGGGAAGAGCATACTATTTGAGCACTGCGTTTTTACCAGACCAGGCTCAAGTCAGTTATATTTCAGGATGGCAGCCTTTGTAACCACCTAAAATAATAAGCTTCTTTCTGTCTCCTAAGATGTGTTTCCATTTTCCTTCATGTAGTTGTGCATTTCCCATCTGTCTGTCTGTCCATCCATGTGAGCAGCTTCTGTTGAGCATTTGCCTGGTGCCGTTACCATACGAGGTGTTCAGGATACAGTGATAGATAGGACACACCTCTGCTTTCTGGTGCCGTTACCATGCGAGGTGTTCAGGATGCAGTGATGGGTAGGACACGCCTCTGCTTTCAGCTGCTGCTTGTTGATGAGCCACCATTCTAAGCAGGTCACATTACAAGGTGGTGAATGGTGAAATGGAGATGTTCATACATGGTTCTGGGAGAAGAAAGGCTTCACATTGGCAGCAGTCCTGAAATTGCGTGAGAGAGCATTCGGGGCAGAAAACACAGGAGTGTCAAGGGCACTGCTGAGAGGAGCAGGGCTTTCCTGCTGCTTGCAGGAGTGGGTGTGGCAGAGGCTTGCAGGGAAGGAGGATCTTGGTGTCCATACAGCCCCCCGTTGGGCGGACCTTTGTGCAGTGCTAGGTGCTGGGCTGCCTGTGGTGCCCTCTGAGGTGTCTGCTTCCTTCCCTCCTCCTCAAGGTTCATTGCTTGCCAGAAGATGGGCTTTGTTTAAATTGGCAAGGAGGGCAGGGCTGGCGAGCTCCAGGGCAGAGGGTGCCATGGGCCCTGGCAGGTGGGTCCGATCCACAGGAGGATCAGAGGCTTATCTTGGAGCAGTAAGGAGGGGCTGTCCTGTGCTTAAAGAGAGGGGGCCAGAGAGAGTCGGCATTGGATTAGTGTTTCAGAAGAACGAATGTGGTGTGTTGGGGAATGCTCCTGAGTGCTCTAAAATCTAAATGTCCAGTAAAAGAACACTAAGTGCATCCCGCTTTGATTGCTTGGATTTGGAGCAGTATTTGATAACACAGATTGTTAATAGAGATCTGTAGTGGTGCACTCCCTCAAGTTGCCATAAGCAGTTGTAATTAACATTCGCACTGGTTGATCCCATGCCTTGCACCACGCACAGGTCTCCTTTCCAGTCCATCGGCCCTCCCATCTCCAAGGATCTATCCTTCATTACAGATTGTGTGTTTCTTAAATATTTTCTCCTTTTCATTCCTTTATAAGTGCTCTAGGAATACATAGCCTACCCTGAGGATGTAATTCTTTGTAGAAACCCTTCAGATGTGCTGTTCCCTGCCTGGATACTCAGCGTCTGGGTCTTATTCCTCATCTTAGCTCAGTTGTTGCTTCCACAAGTCCCTCACTGACCCTCAGAATAGCGGTGGTCTGTCTTCCAGTCTCCCTGGTACCCCCATAGTCATCTGTTGCACAGTTTCGGACTTGAAATCCTGTGATTAATTGTGTCAGCGGTGCCCTTTGCTGCCTTCCCTGTTAGAATGTGCACCTCAGTCTTCACACGGTACCTGTGGAACCAGGCAGCTGCAGGCAGAGCACAGGTATCCAGAGAATGTTGGACTGGAACTACGATCCTGAGTTCTGATGCCATGCCTGAGGCGTGTGGAATCACCAGAAAGTGTGTTCACGTAGATAGAGGAATTATAAGTCAACCTGTGTAAACATGTTAGGTGGAGCTCTTTCATATGAATGATGCTGAATTTCACCTTCTAAATTGAGTGTTCAGTTGAGCATCTTTTTTTTTTTTTAGTATTTATTTTGAGTTGTGCACTTGAGTTTCTCTTTCATGTTTGCGTGTGCATTTTCTAGAATGGCTTCAGTCATCCATCTTCTCTGGAGGCCTGCAGACCAGCCAGATCCACTACAGCTACAACGAGGAGAAAGACGAGGACCACTGCAGCTCCCCAGGGGGCACACCTGCCAGCAAATCTCGACTCTGCTCCCACAGACGGGCCCTGGGGGACCATTCCCAGGCATTTCTGCAAGCCATTGCAGACAACAACATTCAGGATCACAACGTGAAGGTGAGCTAGGCCTGCCCCCACTGCCACCTCAGTGCTCTGTTTATCTGAGGACTTTGACATAGGAATACTTATGTGCTCTTTGGTTAACACAGCACAGACTTTGTTTCATGTATTATTTGGAGGGTTTTGAGGTGAGAACCTGATTGTGTTAACATGCTAGCGAGGCTTCAGAAGCATTAGTGATTGCAAGTGCGTCAGAAGCTGTGGCATGTTTAAGATTTGTGAAGACTCACTGGGTTTCCCTGAAGTTACTTCCAGCTGTTCCTGTTGCAGGACTTTTTGTGTCAAATAGAAAGGTACTGTAGGCAGTGCCATTTGACCACACCGATCATGTTTCCCCCCGAGCATCCCGTGGAAGAGGTCGGTCGCTTGCTGTTATGTTGCCTCTTAAAACATGAAGATTTAGGTAAGGAGCTCAATATCTTTGTACTTTAGCTACACTGCAGATTCCTCGACTAACCTGTGGTACGTATTCATTCCTTCACTGCCCTTCTTTTAAATGTCTTTTTACAGGTCATGTGGCATTATCTTTAGTTCATGCAGGTGCACTTGGTATTGAGCAAGTAAAGCACAGAACGTTGCCTAAGTCAGTGGTGGATGTTTGTAGAGTTGTCTACCAAGCAAAATGTTCGCTCATTAAGGTGATAGATTTTAATTCTTTTTATTCTGTGCTTTGCAGACAGTTGCTGAAATATTTGTTGTTAAAGTTGTCTTTTCCTGGTTAACTTTGCAGACTCATCAAGAACAGGACCGTTCTTACAAGGAGGTCTGCGCTCCTGTCATCGAACGTTTGAGATTCCTCTTTAATGAATTGAGACCTGCTGTTTGTAATGACCTCTCTATAATGTCTAAGTTTAAATTGTTAAGTTCTTTGCCCCATTGGAGGAGGATAGCTCAGAAGATAATTCGAGAACCAAGGAAAAAGAGAGGTAAGAATGTAAAAGGACAGAAGATACTATTAAAGCTTGTGCTTCACCCTGCCACGTTGGATCTGTGATTTCAGAGTGAAGTTTCTCTACTGTTGATTCCATGTAACATTTCTACCTGCTGCCATCATTTTTATTATAGTTAGGATTAAATACAGACATCTCGCTTATTTTTCCAAATGATCAGACAATGAGGCAGTTTAGGAATTGAGTGTGGTATGATTTGATTACTAGTAAATTGATGTTGAAAACGTAAATAATCTTTGCTAAATTGATGGGAACAAGGAAGTACTTTTATTAGTTATCCTGGTAATGAGATATAATGGGAACATTTAAACTTATTGCCATTCTTCTAAAGAAATGTTTTTTGTTTGGAAATATTGAGTATTCTGATACATGAAGAACTATAAAGGGAAGCTAAAAGAGTTACTGACATTTTCCTGGAAGTAGCTGTGTAAGGGTACAGAAAAGTCTTTTTGCATTAAATCCAAATTTGAATAAAAATGCTTAGAAATTATAAAATAGTTTAGAATTTAGTCACTTGTGATTATAAATAAACTACAGAAATTTCTGATTATATCCTTTTTTTTTTTTTTTTTGAGATGGAGTCTTGGTCTGTTGCCAGGCTGGAGTGCAGTGGTGCGATCTCAGCTCACTGCAACCTCCGCCTCCCAGGTTCAAACGATTCCCCTGCCTCAGCCTTCCAAGTAGCTGGGATTACAGGCACGCGCCACCACTCCTGGCTAATTTTTATATTTTAGTAGAGACGGAGTTTCACCATGTTGGCCAAGATGGTCTTGATCTCCTGACCTCGTGATCTGCCTGCCTCGGCCTCCCAAAGTGCTGGGATTACGGGCGTGAGCCACCGCGCCTGGCCTCTGATCATATTATGACTTATACTGATTTACTCACAAACCTGCTTATTGAACAGTATTGATTACTGACTTTCTGATGGGCATTTTGAACAATAAGCTTATGAAAGACTAAAGTGTGTTAGAAGCCATCCTAATTTGATTGTTCCTGAACAAACCCTACACCATAACAGCCTGTCTGAATGCGAGGGGTGCTCTGGATCAGGAAGTCACAGCAGTCACACTGCTGCGATTCCTTTAACCCAGGCATGCAGGAACTCAGCCTGGGCCCAGGAGACAGGCTGCCTCGGAATGAGGGAGAGAGACTCCACATTTGCCATCTCATATCCGTGGGTTCTGAGCCCACACTGTCACTTTTAGAGTTTCTTGTGGGTTTATAGATTTATCGTGTGGTGTTTCAAGCTGGTTTTCTTTTTTTTTTGGAAATTAAGTAACTTGAAAAGATTAAGTGATTAATATTCCTGTTGCTGTGTCAGGGATCCCCGAGCCTTCTCTCAGGCTTGATGATTCACTAAAAGGACTCAGAAGAGCTGTTATAGTCACAGCTGTGTTTTTACTGCAAAAAGGATACAGATTAAAATTAGCAGAGGGAAGGGTGCATGGAGGGAAGTCCAGAGGAAACTAGGCACACGCTTTGGTGTCTCTCCCCAGTGGCGTCACGTGGATGTGCTTAGCTCTCCCAGCAACAGTGTCACATCATGTGTGAAGAATTGTCAACCAGGCCAGCGCACCTGAGCCTCGAGTCTAGAGATTTTGTTGGGGGCCAGTCACATACGCAGGCAGTGCCCCTGTGACTGACCTCACTCAGGCTCCAGTGCCCCAGTGCAAAAACAAGTGGTCCCTCGCAAGTCCCATCATTAGCATAAACTACCTGGCCAGACCACTGCCACAAGGTCCTGGGTGTCAGGTATACCAAAAAACTTCTCAGGCAGGATGTTCCAAGGGCTCAGAGCTCAGCTCCTAGAAGAAGGACCAATCCTGAAGGGACAGACCTTCCTTGGGAATTTGCAGGGTTTGAGCAACCCCGGCCTGCTATGTTAGCTCTTTACTGCCCAGATGTATTATCATGTTGCTTATTTTTTATATTATATGCTGAGGAGATTTAGACCAAAAATTTTAAAAGAGATAAAGTATAGGGAGGAAATTCCACATATCACAGTGAATTCAGTTGATTCAGTTACACAGTAACAGAACCACTGAACTGGACCAGGGTGGACAAGCCAGGAACTATGGGCCAAATTCTACCTCTTGCTGGCTTTGGGTTGCCCATGGACTAAGACCTTTTTTTTTTTTCCAGTTTGAAATTGTTATTTAAAAATTAAAAGAAGTATATTATTTTGGCACATGAAAATTACATGAAGCTAAAATTGTAGCACCATAAATAAAGTTTTACAGGAGCACAGCCACACCTGTTGCTTTATCTGTGGTTACTTTTTGTGCTACAGCAGCAGAGTTGAGTATTTGCGACAGACAGCATGGCCTGAAAGACTCAAATGTTCACTCTCTGGCACTTGAGGAAGAGCTTGCTGGCTGCCGGGCTTCCCCTGCTTCGGGGCTTCTCCCCTCGTCGCACTCTCACTTTGTCTTTTTGTTCTGCCAGGGTGATCATTTCACTCTTGTTGAGCATTGCAATTTATAATGTTGTTCAGATGTTTATTTGAATGAAATATTTGTCCTTCATGTAAATCTAAATATGTCTTAATTTAAAATTAATATTTAAGTGTATGATTTTTATAGTGAATGATGTTTTAAAACACAGTTCCTAAGAAGCCAGAATCTACGGATGATGAAGAAAAAATTGGAAACGAAGAGAGTGATTTAGAAGAAGCTTGCATTTTGCCTCATAGTCCAATAAATGTGGACAAGAGACCCATTGCAATTAAATCACCCAAGGTGCAGTATTTTCTGTGATTCTGAGGTTGGCTGAATAGAATCGTAGCATGTAGCACAGGAATCCACAGTCTTGTACCTCTGTACCTGAGCATCTGGAGGGAGGGACGGGCGGTTGTTAGAAATACGGCCCCAGTGATGCTTCATGAACTTGACTTATGATGTCCTGGTCAGAGCTGTAGCTGGAGAAGGGTTTCCTTTTATTTTTGGTATTAGATTGTATCATTAATTATTCACCATTCATTCCTTAAATATATTCTTTGTTCCAGAAACAGTGCTGGGCCCTGTGGCTGTTAATATGAACCATAACTTAACTTAGTATGCCAAGCTAGCCTGTTCCAACATATAGTATAGAGATTATAAATTCACTTATATTTATAGCATAGTTTTAAAAACATGTATTACTAAATTTAACGTATTTTAACCAATTTAAACCCATAAGCATTATTTATATTTTACTTGAATAACTTTTAGAGCACAGTTTATTATTAAATAGGGTAGACTAATGATGAAAATTGTTTTCCTTTGTTAGGACAAATGGCAGCCGCTGTTGAGTACTGTTACAGGTGTTCACAAATACAAGTGGTTGAAGCAGAATGTGCAGGGTCTTTATCCGCAGTCTCCACTCCTCAGTACAATTGCTGAATTTGCCCTTAAAGAAGAGCCAGTGGATGTGGAAAAGAGAAAGTGCCTACTAAAACAGGTAACATTTGATGAGAAATGCTTCTCTGCATTGGGTAATATACATAACACTTAACTGTATGCATTGATATTTTGCAGTTGGAGAGAGCAGAGGTTCGCCTGGAAGGGATAGATACAATTTTAAAATTGTATCTGGTGAGCAAGAATTTCTTACTTCCATCTGTGCCATATGCAATGTTTTGTGGATGGCAAAGACTTATTCCTGAGGGAATCGATATAGGGTAAAACGTTAGCATATTTTTTTCTTAATTAAGGAAGCTGTGGCAACAGAATGTTTTTCTGTAACAGTTAGAAGTCTGGCAGTGTCCCATGTCAAATTCTTTATCTTTATTTGAAAGGGAACCTCTTACTGATTGTTTAAAGGATGTTGATTTGATCCCGCCTTTTAATCGGATGCTGCTGGAAGTCACCTTTGGCAAGCTGTACGCTTGGGCTGTTCAGAACATTCGAAATGTTTTGGTGGATGCCAGTGCCAAATTTAAAGAGCTTGGTGAGTCAATAATTGTATCAATGTTATTTTATAGTTTGCCTTTAATTATATGTTGTGGAAACTTGCAAATGCCAATTTTTGGTTTTGAGAAGACTTTAATAAGTTTGTACTTTGTACTTGTATAATCTATGCTGCTGTCAGCTTTCTCAGATTTTAAACAAAACTTTAAAATTTAGCAGGAGACACAATGTTGAAGTACTCTAGTATAACATTTTTACATTTTGACATTTTTATGTGTATCACCACATATCCTAAAGTGTCTGTGTCCTATATTGATATTTATTTCCTGGATAGTTTGAGCATCTACAGAGAGTTGATTGGATTGATTTTATGGAGGAAAAGTGAGACATAACTTTTATATTTGAAATGGAAGGAATGGAATAGGGCACCGGTGTATTCAGAGAGCAACATACTAAGTCCTGTAGACAGATGGAACGACCTGTGCATAGAATGCAGGGGGTAGGCCCATCGTGCAGCATGACAGAGCTGCCCACTCTGTGGAAACCACTGAAAAATAGTCAGATGTTTAGAGTAATCGCCCGTGCCTTCTGCGTTACGTTTATGCTTGTATCCATGCGAGAGAAATGTCAGTGGGTGTCAAAATAGTCAGATGATTAGAGTAATTGCCCATGCTTTCTGCGTTACGTTTATTCTTGTATCCACGCACAAGAAATGTCAGTGGGTGTCAGTGCTTATTAGTCAGATGTTTAGAGTAATTGCCCGTGCTTTCTGCATTACATTTATTCTTGTATCCATTACAAGAAATGTCAGTGGGTGCCAATGCTCATTAGGTATCCAGCCGGTTCCCCTGCAAACCATCACCAATGAGAACCCATCGGGACCGAGCCTGGGGACCATCCCGCAAGCCCACTTCCTCCTGGTGATGCTCAGCATGCTCACCCTGCAGCACAGCGCAAACAACCTTGACCTCCTGCTCAATTCCGGCACGCTGGCCCTCGCTCAGACGGCACTGCGCCTGATTGGTAGGTCTGCACTGGCTTGAGAGCCTTTGGGAAAACGTCAAGATTTTGCTTTGATTTATTTTCTTTCTTTTTTTTAAAAAAAGCTTTTTGTAAATTATGGTAAGACACAAATAGCAGAAAGTGTAGCATTTTAACGTCGCAATTCAGCGGTATTAAATACATTCACAATTTTCTAGAGTCATCACCACTGTCTAGTTGTAGAACTTTTTCATCACTATAAATGCACCCCATTTAGCCATCAGTCCTCACTCCCCTGCTCTCCAGCCCCTGGTAGTCACAAATCTGCTTTCTCTGTCTATGGATTTGCATATCCCGGATATTTCATATAAATGGAATCATACCATTTGTGGCCTTTGTGTCTGGGTTATTTCATTTGGTATATATCAGTACTTTATTTTTATGGCTGAAAAAGATTTCATTGTATGAATATATAACATTTTGTTTACTCATTTATCTGTTGATGGACATTTGGGTTGGTTTTGCCTTTTGACTTTTGTGAATAGTGCTGCTAGGAACATTTATATACAAGTACTTGTTTGAACACTTGTTTCTAGTTCTTTTGATTATACACCTAGGACTGGAATTACAGGGTCATATGGTACAACTATGTGTAACTTACTGAGAAACTACCAAAGTTTTCCACAGTGCCATATCATTTTTACATTCCCATCACCAGTGGGCAGGATTCCAGGGTTCCAGTTTCTCTGCTTCCCTGCCAACACTATTTTTTGTGGTTTTCTTTTTTTTTTTGGATTAAGGCCATCCTAGCGGGTGTGAAGTGGTATCTCATTGTGATTTTGGTTTGCATTTCACTAATGATGAATGACATTGAGCTTCTTTACATGTTTGTGCTTGTTGGCCATTTGTATATCTTCTTTGGAGAAGTGTCTATTCAAGTCCCTTTCTCTTTATTTTTTATTTTATTTTTTTGAGACGGAGTCTCACTCTGTCGCCCAAGCTGGAGCGCAGTGGCACGATCTCGGCTCACTGCAACCTCCGCCTCCCGGGTTCAAGCACTTCTTGTGCCTCAGCCTCCCAAGTAGCTGGGATTACAGTCACACACCACCACACCTGGCTAACTTTTGTATTTTTAGTAGAGATGGGATTTCGCCATGTTGGCCAGGCTGGTCTGGAACTCCTGACCTCAGGTGATCTGCCTGCCTTGGCCTCCCAGAGTGCTGGGATAACAGGCGTGAGCCACTGCGCCCAGCCCCTTTCTCCTTTTTAAATAGGGTTATTTGTCGTCATCTTGTTGTACCAATAAATGCACTATATAAGTGTATCAAACCTTTAAAGAAGAATTAACACCAGTCCTCAGACTCTTTAAAAAGTTCGTGTATACTAGACCTTCACAGATCTGTAGACCTTTATCAGGTATATCATTTGAGGGTATTTTCTCCTGTTCTCTGGATTGTATTCCCTTAGATAGAGAAGTTTTTTATTTTGATGAAGTTCAATTTATCTGTTTCTCTTTTGTCGTCTATGCTTTTGATATCATATCCAAAAAGCCATTTCCAAACACAAGGTTGATGAAGATTATCCTCATGTTTTCTTCTGTAAGTTTTATAGTTTCAGCTCTTATATTTAGATCTTTGGTCCATTTTTAGGTAATTTCTTTTACACAGTGTGAGGTAAGAGTCCAGCCTTTTTCTTTTGTTGATCTGATTGTTTCAATACCACTTGTTGAGGACTGTTCTTTCCCTGAAGTTCTGGGTACCCTTGGCAAAAATCAGTTGGCTGTGGATATTTAGGTTTATTTCTGGACTCTCAATTACATTATCACATTCTATATGTTGATAATTGTGCAGGTACCGCCCTGTTTTGAACATTGTAGTTTTGTACTGTTTTAAAATTGAGAAGTGTGTTTTCTTTCTCAAGATGATTTTGGCTACTTTGGGTCCCTTGCATTTTCACATGAACTTCAAGGCTGGCTTTTCCATATCTGCAAAAAAAGACCATTGGGATTTTTGCTAGGGATTGAATCTGTAGATTGTTTTGGGGAATAGTGCCATTTTAACAATGTTAACATCCATTCTCTGAATGTGGAATGTCTTTCCATTTATTTCTGTCCTCTTTAATTTCTTTCAGCAATATTTTATTGTTTTACAGTTATCAGGGTAATAATGGCCTCATAGAATGAACTAGGTAGTGTTCCCATATATTCTGTTTTTAGAAGAGTTTGAGGATTGGTGTCAGTTCAGCTTTAAATGTTTGGTAGAGTTGACCACCTAAGCTTTTCTTTGTTGAAAGATTTTTTTTTTTTTTTTCTTTGAGACGGAGTCTCACACTGTTGCCCAGGCTGGACTGCAGTGGCGTGATCTCGGCCCACTGCAAGCTCCGCCTCCCGGGTTCACGCCATTCTCCTTCCTTAGCCTCCTGAGTAGCTGGGATTATAGTCGCCAGCCACCACGCCCGGCTAATTTTTTGTATTTTTAGTAGAGACGGGGTTTCACTGTGTTAGCCAGGATGCTCTCGATTTCCTGACCTCGTGATCCACCCGCCTCGGCCTCCCAAAGTGCTGGGATTACAGGCGTGAGCCACGGCGCCTGGCCTGAAAGATTTTTAATTACCGATTCAATCTCTTTACTTGTTATGGCTCTATTCAGATTTTCTATTTCTTCTTGAGTCAGTTTGGGTAATTTATGTTTTTAGGAATGTGTCCATTTTATCTAGGCTATTTTATTTGTTGGCATACAGTTGTTCACAGTGTTCTTTTATAATCTTTTTTATTTTTATGTTGGTAGTACTGTCTCCACTTACATTTCTGATGTTAGTTATTTGCATCTTTTCTCTTTTTTTTCTTTTTTTTTTTTTTTTTTTGAGATGGAGTCTCACTCTGTTGCCAGGCCAGAGTGCAGTGACACAGTCTTGGCTCACTGCAACCTCCGCCTCCCGGATTCAAGTGATTCTCCTGCCTCAGCCTCCCAAGTAAGCTGGGAGTACAGGCGCCTGCCGCCAGGCCTGGCTAATTTTTTTTGTATTTTTAGTGGAGATGGGGTTTCACCATGTTGACCAGGATGATCTAAATCTCTTGACCTTGTGATCCGCCCACCTCAGCTTCCCAAAGTGCTGGGATTAGAGGCGTGAGCCACCTTGACTGGCCTCTTTTTTTCTTAATTTACCAAAAGTTTGTCAGATTTTTTGTTCTTGCCAGAAACCGAACTTTTGGTTTTGTAGATTATTTTTCTATTCTCTATTTAATTTATGGCTGCTCTAATCTCTATCGTTTCCTTCTTTCTGCTTTGTATTTTTTTGTTTTTGTTTTTGTCTTTGTTTTGAGACAGGGTCTTACTTTGTCCCTCAGGCCCAAGTACAGTGGCGCACTCATGGCTCACTGCAGCCTCAACCTCCTGGGCTCAAGTTATCTACCTGCCTCAGCCTCCCAAAGTTGCTGGGATTACAGGTGTGAGGCACGACACCTGGCCTAACTTTGGTTTTTATTGTGTTCTTATTTTTTTAGTTCTTCCAGATGTAGAGTTATTGATTTGAGATCATCTTTTGTAAATGCAGACTTTTATAGTATAATTGCCCCTTTTAGCCCTGCTTTTGGCCCAGCACAGAAGTTTTGGTGTGTTGTGTTTTCATTCATCTCATAGTATTTTCTAATTTCCCTTGTGATTTCTTCTTTGACCCACTGATTGTTTACCATGTGTTGTTTAATTTTCATATACTTGTGAATTTTCCACTTTTCCTTTTGTTATTAATTTCTCATCATTTCCTTTTGGTTGGAGAAGGTAACTTGTATGATTTTCGTCTGTTTAAATTTGAGACTTTGTGGCCTAACATATGGTCTGGTCAGTCTAAGAGAGTGTCCTGTGGTATACTTGAGAAGAACGTGTATTCTGCTCTTTTTGGTGAAATGTTCTGTATATGTCTATTAGATCTGATTGGTTTATGGTGGTGTTCTTTGGCTAAAACTGAGATGCTGCAGGGCCAGTTGTCAAAGTCACAGTGAAAAAGCAAGGTTTTCCCAAGCTCTTATAATCACATCAGTTTTAGAGTTCACATTAATCCATTCAAAAATATGTATCAGGCCAGGCTGTAATCGTAGTACTTTGGGAGGCTCAGGCGGGTGGATTGCTTGAGCTCAGGAGTTTGAGACCAACTTGGGCAACATAGCGAAACCCTCTCTCTACAAAAAATACGAAAATTAGCTGGGCATAGTTGTGTGTGCCTGTGGTCCCAGCTACCTGGGAGGCTGAGGTGGGAGGATTGCTTGAGCCAGGGATGCAGAGGTTGCAGTGAGCGGAGATCAAGCCACTGCACTCCAGCCTGGGCTCCAGCCTGGGTGACAGAGTGAAATCCTGTCTTGGGGGTGGGTGGAATCTTTCTATCTATCTGTCTGTCTGTCTGTCTCTCTCTCTCTCTCTCTATATATATATATAATTATTTTTTAATTTATATATTATGTTTATATGTTGTATTATGTTAAATATATATTTTAATATGTGTATTACAGCTGAAAAGAATTATCTAGTAAGGGTTATATCTGATTTCCTGAGGCCTCATTAGCAACCAAAAGTTGCATTTAAAAATTACAAAAGCATATCTCCATCGAGAAATGGCCTTTTTATGTTGTCTACTTTTCCCCCAGAGGTTCCCATAAGTAAAAATCACAGCACAAATCATTAAGTATGGGGACTTGTTCTGTTGATAATATTCATGTGTTTAAATTTCATCTGGCCCACTGGCTGCAAAAAGCAAGGAAGTTGTGTCTCATGAATATCCGTCTATATTTGCAGCTTGCCCTGATCAGGGTATCCTTCTTATCATTTAAGAAATTATAAACATATAATATTTTATACCAGCTTAATGTATACATCCACATGTAACAGCCACAAAACATAAAGCTATGTAAAATAAAAAAATTCCCCCCGGTTTTGGTTGCAAATTTATTCAAGCCCTTAGCAATAAATTCAGTCTTTACAGAGTTAACAGTATAGCTGCCCAGGGGATCCTGGGAGATCCACCTGGAATGCAACTCCTGTCCCTTCCTTGGGGCTCCTTCCTGGGGGCCCTAAAGTAGCGGCTAGGCTAAAGGAAAGGCTGTTTCTGCTGCTAGTTTATCTAAAGTTTTGCTCCAGCCCTGGGAATTGAATATCCTTTTTTGTTCTCTTGGAAGAGAGAGAAACACAAACTTTTTACATTTTTTGGTCCACCCCAGCCCACCTTTGGGACTGTTTGGATCTTTTTCCCTCCCACCTGGAGGAGAAAACTAAAATCAAGGGAGTTACCAGAACCACACTCCTACCCCCTCTCAGTTTAGCAAGTGGGAAAAGGGGGGTTAAAAATCTAGCCTACTCTCCTAGGGTTAGCGCTCCTATTTTCAGATCCATTGGGAAGTTTTACTTCTCTCAGGTGACAGCAGCTCGGCTTCTGTTTTGTGCTATGGATGACTCTGTAGCCACCCAGGGCACCAATTGTCAGGGGTCTCCGAGACCACCCCCAGGTTTGATGGTTGGCCAGGAGGACTCACAAGACTCAGCATGTAGTTGTACTCAGGGCTATAGTTTATTACAGTGAAGGGACACAGAGCAAAATCATGAAAAAGGACATGGGTAAAGTCCAGAGGAAAGCAGGTACAAGCTTCCACAGGATCCACACAGGACGAGCTTAACTGCCCTGGCACCGAGCCGTGTCAAGTGCTGTCTGCCGGGAAGCTGGGTAGAGACTCCAGGCCCACGGTTTCCATCAGGACTGATCACACGGGCACCCCCTGCCTGGCGTGTACCAAGTTCCAGACTAAGGAAAGCAGGTTTCAGCACAGACCCCATTGTTTGTACAGACAGTTCAGGCACAGGGAACCACACCTACCACCTAGGGAATGGGGGAGCCCTCCTGAGATCCAGACTCCAGCTGAGGGCCAGCCTGCAGCAACCCTGTCTGAGGTTGTATCTCGGGCCAGCTGTTAGCTGTCTTCTGCACAGAACCATGATTAAAGTTTGTTAGTTTCCCACTGTTAGATATTTAGGTAGTTATCTTTGTTTTTCTATTAATAAAAAATGTGATGAGGATCTTTCTAACTCAGTTATTTTGCTTTTTTCAGGGGAGTAATTCCTAGAAGTAGAGAAAGTAGCTTTACTGAGCATTTTAATATCTTTTATATCTTCCTAGGATATTTATGTATTTCATCCTTCCGTTTATCTTCTTTTTATCCTATATCAGTAAAATATTCATAATATTATATTGATAAAACATATAGTATGGATTGTTCAAAATTACGATCTTCATTAGTACTTTGTGAATGTTTTGTGTGTATTAAGGGGACACTGTAGCTACTTGTTGGCTCAGCTATTGTTTTTGACGCTCCGTCAGGCCCCAGTTGTGACAACGTTGAGGAAGATATGAATGCTTCTGCTCAAGGTGCTTCTGCCACAGTTTTGGAAGAAACAAGGAAGGAAACGGCTCCTGTGCAGCTCCCTGTTTCAGGGCCAGAACTGGCTGCCATGATGAAGATTGGAACAAGGGTCATGAGAGGTGTGGACTGGAAATGGGGCGATCAGGTACTCAGAGATTTGATGTGAACACATTAGCCACACATTAGTTATCTTCTGCATAGTTCTGTACGATATTGGTGGGTGGAAATTGGAATAATCCAGGATGTGTCAGTTGATCGATGACACAGGTGTTGGTTCCCGAGCAGCTGAAGGGAGTGAACACAAACAGGGAATCATAAGTAGGGCATCTGAGCAGAATCAAGTCTGGAAAGAGAGGCAGCTCTTTTCAGGAAACTCACTGGCATGAGGCTCAGTTTGATGGGTCACTGGAACAAGAGTGTGAGAGTGAGCAAGAGAGTAAATCTCATTCTGAAAGTTGGTGTAGTGAAGGCTCTGAGGCAGGAAGCCCAGATGCTGCCCCTGTGGGCTGATGGCCATGTGCTGCGAAGTGCCCTGAAGCCAGTAGTTAGGGATCTACTTCATGGGCCTGTGGCCACGTTTCCATCTTCCCTCATCGCAGGTCTCTTCTAAATCTCTGCCAGGTGCCCCCAGGTGGAAGTCACTTACCACAGCCCTAGCTAAGTTAGGGCAGTGTTCACCTTCCCATGGTCTGTCTGGCTTTTCTCAGCCACGCTGGTAAGCCCTGGCTTTGTCACAGTCATCTTAGAAATAGCAGTGTCTGGAGACAGCATCCATCCTAGAAACAGCTTTCTCCTGCAGAAGTGAGAGACAGAGCTTCCCCCTGGGGCCCAGGGGAAACTGAAGCAAAGGGAATGTGGAGGTGCTGGTGCTTGTTTCAGGTTTCCGCTCTTGCAAGGCCCGTGAGGGATTGTGGGGACAGGACTTGCTGCAAAGCCCTGTCTCTGCATTGACTCAGAGGATCCTCATTGAGATGAGATTTCCCCGACTTCCTTGGTAAAGCAGCATGAGCACGTTATTTTATGCCATTTAATTTAAAATGATGCAAGCACACATTTTGTAGGAGAGGTGAAATCTGTGTCTGGGGACAGCCCCTGACAGACAGGGTGGCATATGGCGACATCTGTGTGGCAGGTCTGGTGGGAGCCATGGAAGGACCAGGGCAGGGCACGCACCCTCCTAACTGAGGTCTGGTGGGAGCCATGGAAGGACCAGGGCAGGGCACGCACCCTCCTAACTGAGGTCTGGTGGGAGCCATGGAAGGACCAGGGCAGGGCAGGCACCCTCCTAACTGAGGTCTGCTGGGAGCCATGGAAGGACCAGGGCAGGGCACGCACCCTCCTAACTGAGGTCTGGTGGGAGCTATGGAAGGACCAGGGCAGGGCACACACCCTCCTAACTGAGGTCTGCTGGGAGCCATGGAAGGACCAGGGCAGGGCATGCACCCTCCTAACTGAGGTCTGCTGGGAGCCATGGAAGGACCAGGGCAGGGCACACACCCTCCTAACTGAGGTCTGCTGGGAGCCATGGAAGGACCAGGGCAGGTTACGCACCCTCCTAACTGATCTCTACTTTGGCTTTCTCAGGATGGGCCTCCTCCAGGCCTAGGCCGAGTGATTGGTGAGCTGGGAGAGGACGGGTGGATAAGAGTCCAGTGGGACACAGGCAGCACCAACTCCTACAGGATGGGGAAAGAAGGAAAATACGACCTCAAGCTGGCAGAGCTGCCAGCCCCTGCACAGCCCTCAGCAGAGGATTCGGACACAGAGGACGACTCTGGTGGGTGACTCAGGAAGGTGTTTAGTCCAAGGCAGCCTACAAACTGTCCAGTTGCTGGGTGCTGCCACTGCCATCTGGGCCTTAGAATGGGATGTCAGGACACACCTGCAGCTGGCGCTCTGTCCTCGGAACCTGTAATTTAAATAAGCTCCCAGGCACCTCCGATGCAGGTGTGTGGAGTGACTGTGGGATCCGGCGATCTGGCTGGAACTGACTTTCTGCATTTTCCTCTCATGTGTGCACCCGCCCCTCTTTGAGAATGTGGTGGCCAGGTGGGGGCAGCTGCATCACCAGTGAGTCTCATGTGGTTGGTGCTGAGCCTGCATCTGAGCGAGTGAGCCGAGGCCTGGTGGAATTGCCCTGCGGTCTCGGTCCATCGCGTCCTCCTCCAGTGAGAGCCCCTGCCCAAGCACACCCCACCTGCCACCTGCCTTTACCTTTCCTCTGTGGTCCCTGACTCTGAACTCTTCATGTAATGTGGAGTTAGTCAGCACTTTATCGCTTCTAGGGAAGCAGAGGTGAGAATTTAGGGGTGGACCAAGAAAGCTAGATCCTATCTGTGGAGATCCAGGTTGTGGGAGGAGGTTTCGTGACATTTCTTAGCTGTTCCTAAAACACGTGAAGCTTCACATGGTTGGGCTTGGTAAGACCATCCAAGAGGCTGGGGCTGCCAATATAATTTGTAATTTTGATTATTTTTTTTAGAAGCCGAACAAACTGAAAGGAACATTCACCCCACTGCAATGATGTTTACCAGCACTATTAACTTACTGCAGACTCTTTGTCTGTCTGCTGGAGTTCATGCTGAGATCATGCAGAGTGAAGCCACCAAGACTTTATGCGGACTGCTGCAAATGTTAGTGGAAAGCGGAATGACGGACAAGACATGTATGGAATGAGAGATCGAGGGCCCAGGGAGTCAGCGCTGGGGGCCGCACGCTTGTCGTGTCTGGGTGTGCATGTGGGTGGGTGTGGATGTGTGTGGATTCCTTTCCTGTGGCTGCTGTAACAAAGTATACAAACTTGGGGACTTACACAGTAGAAATTCTCACGGTTCTGGTGGCTGGAAGGCTGAGATCAAGGGTAGTTCCTTCTGGGGCTGTGAGGGAGAAGCTGCTTCAGGGCTCTGCCCCAGCTTCTGGAGTTTACTGGTCTCTTTAGCGTTCCTCGGCTTGTAGAGGTGTCACCCCTATCTCTGCCGTCATCTTCACATGGCATTCTCCCTGTGTGTGAGTCGCCTCCAAATCTCCCCTTTTCATGAGGACATCATTCAACCTCATCAAACTGATTACATCTGCAGCGACCCTATTTCCAAACAAGGTCACCTGCCGAGGTACGATAGGGGTTAGGGCTTCAACATACGAATTTTGCAATTCTGAATTCAACCCGTAACACTGGCTTCAAACAACAAATTTGTTCTCTCAGAGTTCTGGAGACCAGAAGTCCCAAATCCAGGTGCGGGCAGGGCCATGCTTCTTCCACAGGCTCTAGGGGAAGGTCCTTCCTTACTTTGTCCAGCTTCTGGGAGCTCCAGGCTTCCTTGGTGTTGGGACGCATTGTGCCAGTCTCTGCCTGCGTCTTCACATGGCCCCTGCCCCTGTGTTCTGCATGTCCTTTTCTGTCTCTGAAAGGACTCTTTCATTGAGTTTCTTTGACTCTAATCCAACATGATGTCACCTAAATTCTTACCTTAATGACGTCTACAGAGACCTCATTAAATAAGATCATATTCTGAGGTTCCGAATGTATGTGAAGTTGGAGGACAGGCACAGTTTAATCCATAAAGTGTTTGTGTGTGTGGAGAGTAAGTATGAGAAATGTGAGCTGAGGGAGTGGGGTGAGTGTGCATGTGACTGCGAGTGAGCACATGTGAGTGTGGGTGGGTATGTGGGCGTCCTCCAGTGTGTGTGTGAGAGCATGCGTGTATTAGTGGTGTGCTGGAGCGTCCGCACATATTGATGAGAGTGAGTGTGTTAGTGGTCGATGGGCAAGTGGCTGAGCGTTTGTGTTGCAAGTGTGATGGTGTGTTTGTAGCATGTGGTTGTGTGGGTGTGTGTCCATGAGAGCATGTGAGTGGGCAGGTGACTACATTCAGGTGAAGTGGGAGTGAAAGCGTCAGTGCATTGAGCCAGTGTGTGTGTGAGGGTGAGCACGAGGGAGGCATGAGTGTGAGTGTGAGGGGATTACTGGGTGTGCGAATGAGACACCCAGTGTAAGTGTAAGTCAGTGAGGGTTGGTGAGTGTGAGGAAGTATGAGTGGGTGGCAGGCACAAGTGTAAGTGTGCGATTGAGTGCGAGCATTTGTGTAAATGTGTATGAGTGCCTTGTGTCAGTGTGAGCACGAGTGATGTTATTGTGAATGCGTGTGAGTGAATGTGAGCATTTTGCTTGTGTCAGTGAATGGGAGGTTATAACAGTATAGGTGTGAGTGTAAAGTGAGAAAGTGTGTGGGTAAAGGTGTGAGTGGGTGAGTAATCGGTCGTTACTAGTGTTGAGGAGTGTGAGTGCATATGTGAGTTTTTGTATGCATTGGGAGGGGTAAGTGTATGTGAGAGTGCATGGGAGTGTGTGTCAGCTTGCATCTGTTTGTGCATACGTGTGACTGGGATTGTGTGTGTGTTAGTGATTGCGACAGTGGTGTGAGTGCACCTGAAAGTGTGAGGGTGGGTGTATGAGTGCCCATGAGTGTGTCTGAATAACTTAGTATCAGTGTGAGTGTGAGGATGCATATGAGGGTGTGAGAGTGAGTGTGTGTGTGTGTGAGCGCATGTGAGTGTGCTGAAGGAAGGCAGGTGTCCTCATAAGCTTGGATAGCTGAGGGCAGGGTGGGGGAGGTGGGAGGGAGAGCAGGTCCTGTGGGGCTGTGGGCGGGGTCCCTCAGGGGGCCCAGCCTCCAAGCCTCAGCCTCCATTCAGGGAGTAGTGGAGTCCTGGAGCCAGGCGGAGCAGAGGTGGGCCCACTGGTGCTAGAATCCAGTGGTGTAAACCTAGTGAAAAACTCATTTTGTTAATGCAGATGCATTAAACTTGGATTGGAAACTGTCTCTACTAAAATTACAAAAAGAGTATTTAAGTGGTGCAGATTAAATATAAGCAAGATTGTGGAGATATTTAAAACACGAAATTAAAAATATAATAGATGCACTGTTGCAAATTACTATTTGAATTATAGATCATTTTCCTATTGCCTAGAAACAATACATAGCTAAAATTCCCTAACTACTTTTACGACACATATTTAGAAGGTTTTAAAAATGCCTGTAGTCCCAGCTATTCGGCAGGGCAAGGCAGGAGAATCACTTGAGCCCAGGAGTTTTAGACCAGCCTGGGAAACACAGTGAGGGCCCATCTCTAAAAAAAACAAAAAAAAAAGAAAACTTCGGAAATGTTTCTTGAACTAACTTAAAAGCCGCCTTCCACTTCTCACTTTGAATTAGTTTGAATTAATTTACAAACTGCAATATATTTTAAAGGAGCTTATTGTAGAAAATAAGTTGATAAAAAAATAAGGATATATCTTTAGGGATTTGTCTTTAGGGACTTGTTACCAAGCATGTCTATTTTCCCTCCTGCAGCTTCTCCAAACAGGCTGGTGTACAGGGAGCAACACCGGAGCTGGTGCACGCTGGGGTTTGTGCAGAGCATCGCTCTCACGCTGCAGGTGTGCGGCGCCCTCAGCTCCCTGCAGTGGATCACGCTGCTCATGAAGGTCGTGGAAGGGCACGCACCCTTCACTGCCACCTCGCTGCAGAGGCAGGTAATGTGCTGCCAGGCAAAACCAGTTCCCTGAGAGAGGCCTCCATGTACTGAAGTTCCCTGCCCTCAGAGTCAGGGGCCTTTATTCAGTAACGAGTGCAGAAAGGGTCTAGAAGTGACAGGGTAGATTTTCTGGAGGCAAGGGGCAGAGGTCCTTGATAATTGGTAAGTTGCTAACCTTCAGTTTACCTGCTTTTCTCTTAAGTGGTAAATCCTGCAACTACTTACTCATCTGCTTCACAGAATTTGTAGTGTAATTGTCTTAAGAATTAAACTAAAAATAATTCTTTTTTAATTAAACACATGCATCTGTAATGTTGCTTTTTTCTAAAGTCCCTGACAATCCTAATCACTAATCAACTTGAGTGTAATTACCTGGCTGTAAAATAATGAATCTCAAAATTTTCACATGATTACTTGCATTATGAGAACAGAAAATAAAGAGAGGCTGGGCGCAGTGGCTCATGCCTGTAATCCCAGCACTTTGGGAGGCAGAGGCAGGTGTATCATGAGGTCAGGAGTTTGAGACCAGCCTGGCCAACATAGTGAAATCCTGTCTCTACTGAAAATCCAAAAAAAATGAGCCGGGCTTGGTGGTGAGTGCCTATAATCCCAGCTACTCAGGAAGCTGAAGCAAGGAGAATCGCTTGAACCTGGGAGGTGGTGGTTGTAGTGAGCCAAGACCGTGCCACTGCACTCCAGCCTGGGCGACAGTGCGAGACTCTGTCTCAAAAAAAAAAAAAAAAAGAAAATAACAATCTGTAGTTTCCTCATCAGATTTTTTTTAATGCTTGTCATTGTAAATTTTCTTTTATCAGATCTTAGCTGTGCATTTGTTGCAAGCAGTCCTTCCGTCATGGGACAAGACCGAAAGGGCGAGGGACATGAAATGCCTCGTGGAGAAGCTGTTTGACTTCTTGGGGAGCTTGCTCACTATGTGCTCCTCTGACGTGCCGTTACTCAGAGGTGAGTGGCCGTCTCCTTTCCCTGTGCCCTGGTGAAGAGCGGTGCAGCAGCTTCTCCCCTGGTTTCCTCCTCAGAGTCCATGCTGAGGTGGCGCAGGGTGTGCCCGCAGGCCTCGCTGACTGCCACCCACAGCAGCACACTGGTGGAGGAGGTGGTGGCACTGCTGCACACGCTGCACTCCCTGACTCAGTGGAATGGGCTCATCAACAAGTACATCAACTCCCAGCTCCGCTCCATCACCCACAGCTTTGCGGGAAGGCCTTCCGAAGGGGTGGGTTTGTGTTCTCAGAATTAATTTAGTTGAACAGTAAACCTGTAGGGATTGGGCAGCTCCGTGAGTGTCCCCGGTCGAGCTCGCTGTTTGGTCTGCACTAGGCCCAGTTAGAGGACTACTTCCCCGACTCCGAGAACCCTGAAGTGGGGGGCCTCATGGCGGTCCTGGCTGTGGTTGGAGGCATCGATGGTCGCCTGCGCCTGGGTGGCCAAGTTGTGCACGATGACTTTGGAGAAGTCACCATGACTCGCATCACCCTGAAGGGCAAAATCACCGTGCAGTTCTCTGACATGCGGACGTGTCGCGTTTGCCCATTGAATCAGCTGAAACCAGTAGGTGAACTTGTGCTTAGTTACTGCATGATAAGGGAAATTGACTTTACACTAGAACCGAGCACCAACATCAGCACTTGAAAGAACTTGATTCTGGTACTTGAAGTTTGCCTTCCAGGAAGCTGTGTGAGCTTGTGCTTCTGTGGTAAGCAGGGCCTGTCTCACAGGGCACTTAAAGCAGTGGTTCGTGTGTATTTCAGCCTCAGAGACACGAAGAGGGCTTTAGCAACCTAGAAGGTACCGTGCATCTATGAGGTAGTTCTAATTATTTTAAAATGTGAATTTATGAAGTTTACTTTTTATTCAACAACTCAAGTTTTAAAAAAACAAACATGTTTAAACACCTTTAAAAAAACAGCCTTTCTTCATGTAGAAAATGCTTAGTAGTTTTGAGTGACGTGACTTAATGTAGCAGCTACTGTCATCTTAATCTGTGAATCAAGGATGCACAGGGAGAAGGAGCCATTTACATTATTCTGATGTAACCCAAGTGCAATCTTACTATATATTCTTTTTCTTTTTTGTTTTGAGATGGAGTCTTGCTCTTGTCACCCAGGCTGGAGTGCAATGGCACAATGTTGTCGGCCCTCTGCAACCTTTGCCTCCCGGGTTCAAGCGATTCTCCTGCCTCAGCCTCCTGAGTGGCTGGGATTACGGTGTGTGCCACCACGCCTGGCTAATTTTGTATTTTTAGTAGAGATGGGGGTTTCACTATGTTGGCCGGGCTGGTCTCAAACTCCTGACCTCAGGTGATCCGCCCGCCTCGGCCTCCCAAAGTGCTGGGATTACAGGCATGAGCCACCGTGCCCGGCCTGACTATATTTTCTATAAAGCACTCTTTTTTATTATTATAGGAATATATACATGTTGTAGAAAACTTGAAGTATATAGAAAATATCTGAGAAGATAGTAACCACCACACTGATGTAATTATTGTTGACAGGTTTGTAAAGAAAAATTAATATAGATTATACTTATTATATGTGTAAATCTCTATCCTGCCTTTAATGTCATTTTAAAAAATGATTATTCTCAGCTATAAAAAGGCTTACGGGTATGTGTGGCATTTCAGGATTAAGCCCATGGTTTTGATGACTTTCAGAACGTTTCATTTGTTAGTCATATTGGCCACACTCTGACAGCTTCTGTGTCCTCTCCAGCTCCCTGCCGTGGCCTTTAATGTGAACAACCTGCCCTTCACAGAGCCCATGCTGTCTGTCTGGGCTCAGTTGGTGAACCTCGCTGGAAGCAAGTTAGAAAAGCACAAAATAAAGAAATCGACTAAACAGGCCTTTGCAGGTCAGTACATGGCGCTTCTTGATGAAATAGCTGCCATCTTAAACTCGTGTCGTTTGTACAGTGTTCTTTTATGAGTGAATTCACGGACATACCAAAGTCCTGGGGTTCACGTGGGCTCACCATTTGTTGAGTTGCGGTTGGGAATGTAACCCTGTGTTCGTGGTAATGAGTATTTTCGAGTCAGCCTTTGTCGCCATGTTCGGAGCCACACTTGAAGAACCCCATGGCTCACACCCTCTTCTCCGTGTCACCCTTTATCCCGGAAGAGAAGTCTGTTCACCTCTTCCCTCCTCCCCTCCATCCCAGGGCCCTGTGGCCCCGTCACCCTGTTGGACCATGGCTCACAGCCTGTTCTCTGCCGGATCCAGGGGCCTCTGTCCCGGAAGCGCCTGGCTTGCCTGTGACATTCAGGATGGCTAAGACTGTGACTGTAGCCTGGCTTGGCTTTGCCTTCCTTCGGGTCTAGAATGCGGCTCTCCTGAGTTTGTTTCCATGTTTCTAGGGAGCTCTTCTCTCTGCTCATTCTTTATGTCCTGGAAGTCTGTGTGGCTTCACCCATAACTATGGCATATTCTGCCCAGTCTTCTTGAGTTTTCTCCCCTCTTGCTCCCACAGACCTACGATTGCTGCTTCAGCATATATGATGTAAGCACTTTCAACTCTGGATCTCCCATTCACATCTCTGGTTGGAGGTGCAGTGCATGCAAATCACCACATGTCCGAAATTCAGCTGGCTTTCTCTAGTAGCTGCCGTTTCCCATCGTGGTGAATAAACCTGTCTGCCAGTTAGTTGAGCCAGTGTCCGAGCGGCACCTGCGGCCCTCCTTCCTTCCCACCCCATGCTCTCTGTGCTGCTTCTGCGGCCTCTGCTATCAGATAAGCCTTGGGCATTGCTGCGATCTTCATCAGTTAAAGAGCTAGTGGGGCTGACAGATTCTCTCAGAGGAGTCTTAGAAGAAGAGTGGAAGCGGCTGAAACTTCAGCAACTTGGGGAACATTTGATCATATTAATAGTAGCTAACATGGTTCTAACCGTGTTAAACCCATTGAATCCTGCGTCCTATCAAGTTAGGTGCCTGGAGAGCAGGGAAGGAAGACCCAGGAGGCAGAAGATGCTTACCCAGAAGCACCGAGTGTAACTCTGGGAAAGGCAAGCCCTTCGTCACGGACAGTGTGTGCGGTCGGCAGATTCCTGAAGGGCAGAGCGTTACTCGTCGCCATGTGGCGGAGGCTTGCTGCTGGCGAGGAGGGAGTCTGAGCAGGGCACGCCCTTCTCACTGAGTCTTTCCTTCCGCAGGACAAGTGGACCTGGACCTGCTGCGGTGCCAGCAGTTGAAGCTATACATCCTGAAAGCAGGTCGGGCGCTGTTCTCCCACCAGGATAAACTGCGGCAGATCCTGTCTCAGCCAGCTGTTCAGGAGACTGGAAGTGTTCACACAGGTGTCTTTTTAAAAAGTTCTTAAATCTTTATAAGAAGGGCAGTAGAAAGTAGACAAAGGAAGTGAATAATCAGTTCATAAAAATGGACATAGGTGGCTTATAAATGTACAAAACAGACACGTGGCCTGCCCAGCAACCACCAACTGTGAATAAAATTGTCATCGTCATCTTATAAGACAAGACTGAGGGCATCTGGTGGGTGGGGAGGGAAAAAGGTATTTTCATGCCTTCCCATTTAAAGTGTGCTGCATGGGTCAGCAAGACTGGTGGCACACAGGTATGTGTTAGAAATGCAGACTCCCAGGCCGCACCCCAGACCAAAGAAATAGAGCCTGTATTGTAACAAGATGAACCTAAGCTGATTCTTCAAATGCGCGTAAAGCCGCACTCCATGAACACGCTGCTGCTGGGAATTTCAGTTGGTGTAGCCATCTAATGGGCATCTGAGGAAATGAGTTGGACTTTGAAATGCATAGATGTATGTATGTATTTATATACTTTGGCCCAGCAAGTCATTCTGTGGGACTTTATCACACGAAAAGGCATGTAAAGATAATGTATTCACCACCTGGGCACAGTGGCTCATGCCTGTAATCCCAGCACTTTGGGAGGCCGAGGCGGGCGGATCACGAGGTCAGGAGATAGAGACCATCCTGGCTAACACGGTGAAACCCCATCTCTGCTAAAAATACAAAACATTAGCTGGGCAAGGTGGCAGACGCCTGCAGTTCTAGCTACTCGGGAGGGTGAGGCAGGAGAATGGCATGAATCTGTGAGGCGGAGCTTGCAGTGAGCCGAGATGGCGCCACTGCACTCCAGCCTGGGCAACAGAGCAAGACTCTGTCTCAAAAAAAAAAAAAAAAAAAATTGGCGGGGCATAGTGGTGGCTGCATGTAATGCCAGCTACTTGGGAGGCTGAGGCAGGAGAATCACTTGAACCGGGGGTTGCGGAGGTTGCCGTGTGTGCGGATTGCAGGGTGCAGATTGTGCCACTGCACTCCAGCCTGGGTGACAGAGTGAGACTTCGTCTCAAAAAAAATAATAAATAAAAATAATGTATTCAACAGTGTCGTTATGGCCTCCTTTTTGGTATTGTTTTTGTATTGAAAAACTGTAGACACCAAAATACCCATTCTTATGTTGTGTATCCGTACAGTGTGATATCATGGTGCCATTCAAAATGATGGTACATGTATAGTCTTCCCTCAATATCCATGGGGATGAGTTCCAAGACCCCCAGTTATACCAGAATTCACTAATGCTTAAGGCCCTTCTATAAAATGGTGTAGTATTTGCATATAACCTATGCACATCCTCCGAAATACTTTAAAAATATAAATGATATATAGGCTGGGTGCGGTGGCTCACGCCTGTAATCCCAGCACTTTGGGAGGCTGAGGTGGGCAGATCACGAGGTCAGGAGATTGAGACCATCCTGGCTAACACGGTGAAACTCCATCTCTACTAAAAATACAAAAAATTAGCTGGGCGTGGTGACGGGTGCCAGTAGTCCCAGCTACTTGGGAGGCTGAGGCAGGAGAATGGCATGAACCCAGGAGGCGGAGCTTGCAGTGAGCCGAGATCATGCCACTGCACTCCAGCCTGGGTGACAGAGCGAGACTCTGTCTCAAAAAAATAAATAAATAAATAAAAATAAAATAAAATAAATGATATGTAAATAGTTGTTATTGCTATTCTTTTTAAAATTATATTTTAAAAAATTGTTTTATTCTGAATATTTTTGATGTGTGGTTTGTTGAATCTTTGGATGCAGAACCCATGGATACGGAGGGCTAGCTGTATATGTTTATTGCTGTGGAAACATGAAAACAATAAGTGAACAGAAAAGCACACTGCTATGTATATCCGTTTATAGATATGCCATAGTTATCTGTTTAGCAAAACAGTGACCCAGTAATCTTTGGTGGAATTTTGGCTGTCTTTATTTTCTTTATATTTCTCTATATTTAGTTTTCTAGAATGAGCTTGTGTTACTTTTAATAGAAAAAAACATTTTTTGATCTCCAACTATTGAAAGACATTATGCTAAGTCTTTTGCGGAGAAGTCCTTTTCTATGATCATTGCTCTCTAGGGTTTGGATGAGGAGAGGAAGTGAATGCAGATGGCTCTCTTTGTTCTCTGGGGCCAGGGGGCGGTGAGGCATGTGAGTGGTTCCACAGGCGTCTGGAGCCAGTGGCAGCTGAGCACTGGACGGGCAGCCTTTGAAGGCTGTGGCAGACAGATGCCAGCAGACAAGCACTCTGCTGGTGGTGGAGGCAGGAGGAGAGGAGTGAACGTGGTGAGTCTTTGGAAGCACGTTGAGCAGCTCTCCTCTTCTTGGAGCTCAGGGTTTTTCGATGAGTGGTGGGGCTGAAGCTAGATGGGCAGCTGACATCCTGTTACAGAGTACCTGGGAGACCAGGGTGAAACTTGAGGCCCACTTGGAAAGCTGTGGTAGGGGCCACATGGTAAGCATTGACCTTCGGGTGATACACCTGCTAGGAAGGTATAGGAGTATCTGAAACAGGAGATGACAGAGATGGAGAATTGCTCCTGCGTCAGGTGATGAGGGGGAAGGCATGAAAAGGGAAAGAAGGTTCTGGTGGAAGGAAGGTGCCATCCACTGTGATGGTGTAGTCTTGTAGATGATAACTTTATGGGGAACCAGCAAAAAGTGGAAGGTGACTGCTGTTTCAAGCTTGAGTTGAGGGAGGAATATTGAGTAGTGTGTTTGAAACAAATAAGTCCAGTAGAATGTGGAGTGTGTGCGTTTGCTTCTTAAGAGGAGAGGATGCTATGAAATTAATTTTAAACCTGCTGAGGATGAAAGAAATCAATTGAAAGTATAGAATCAATTAATAGTAGAGGTCGTAGGGAACATGAAGATTTCCCAGTTGTAGAGATTGGGAGATTGGAGCCTGGGAATTGGATTGGCTGTTCTGTTCTGCACTCAGCCCGATGAGCAATTACAGCAGACCTGAATCAGGATGATCAAGTCTGTGCTTTGGGCCGAGCAGGGACTCCGAACAGAGCTAGATTGACAAAACTGCCGTGCACCTGTTTTTGTAAGTTTTTATGGGAACACAGGCACACCACTTGTTTACAGATCGTCTCTGGATGCTTTTGCTCTGCAATGGCAGAGCTGAGTAGTTGGGACAGAGACTGTACAGCCCATCAGCCTAAACTATTTACTCTCTGGCCCTTTAAGAGAAAGATTTCCAGCTCCTGGTCTAGTTAGTTGAAATTGTCACTGAAGAAAACCAGCACATGCAAATGCTGTGAGTACCTGGATGAGTACCTAGATGTGTGAAGTGGGCTTGAGCGCAGTGGATCTCCCTGGGGCTGTGTCAAACAGAGTCCTAAAGGCTGCACCTAAAGCTACTCATAACAGACAAAAAGCCATCACCCTGAGCACATGACACATTTGGAATTGGGGTCACTTAATGATCTCAACAAGGCTTAGCTGGAAAAGCTACAGCTAGAAATATGCACATGGGATGTGTCTGTGTCAGGGGTTACTGAAGCCGTGAGTGAACATGAAAGAGAGTGTGTAGGTCAGGCATGGTGGCTTACGCCTGTAATCCCAACACTTTGGGATGCCGAGGCGGGTGGATCAGGAGTTGGAGACCAGCCTGGCCAACATGGTGAAATCTAATCAACAGCCTGGCCCCATCTATACTAAAAATACAAAAATTAGCTAGGCGTGGTAGCATGTGCCTGTAGTCCCAGCTACAGGGAAGGCTGATGCAGGAGAATCGCTTGAGCCAGGAGGCAGAGGTTGCAGTTTGCCAAGATTGTGCCACTGCACTCCAGCCTGGGCAACAGAGTGAGACTCCATCTCAAGAAAAAGAGAAAGAATCAGACCAAGTGCAGAAATCTGGGAAGGAGCATTTGCTGGCTCTAAGAGACAGATGCACTAATGAAGGACAGAGACCAAAAGCAGGCAGTGAAAGTGGTTTAGAGTCTAGTTCCTTTTTTTTTTTTTTTTGAGATGGAGTCTCGCTCTGTTGCCAGGCTGGAGTGCAGTGGCGTGATCTTGGCTCACTGCAACCTCCAACTCCCTGGTTCAAGCAATTCTCCTGCCTTAGCCTTGCGAGTAGCTGGGATTACAGGCACGCACCACCATGCCCAGCTAATTTTTTTTTTTTTTTTTTTTTTGAGACCGAGTCTTGGTCTGTCGCCCAGGCTGGAGTGCAGTGGCGTGATCTCGGCTCACTGCAAGCTACGCCTCCCAGGTTCATGCCATTCTTCTGTGTCAGCCTCCCAAGTAGCTGGGACTACAGGTGCCCACCACCATGCCCGGCTAATTTTTTTGTGTTTTTAATAAAGATGAGGTTTCACTGTGTTAGCCAGGATGGTCTCGATCTCCTGACCTCGTGATCCACCCGCCTTGGCCTCCCAAAGTGCAGGGATTACACGCGTGAGCCACCGCACCCAACCTAGAGTCTAGTTTTTGTTCGATGTCTGAACCTTGAAGATTTTGGTTTTCTATCACATAATGAGGCAGAAGTCATACCTGATTTAACATGCTTAATGCATTTTCTTTAATAGTAAAGTGGTGTTCGCAGTTGAAAATAGAATCTTACACATATTTTGTTTTTAAATTCAGATGATGGAGCAGTGGTATCACCTGACCTTGGGGACATGTCTCCTGAAGGGCCGCAGCCCCCCATGATCCTCTTGCAGCAGCTGCTGGCCTCGGCCACCCAGCCGTCTCCTGTGAAGGCCATATTTGATAAACAGGAACTTGAGGTACAGCCATGCAGCCTTGACAGTTTTTAATCCACAGCACTAAATTGTGAACACTTTTTTTCTAGATGTATATTTTCTTAAGGATCTATTCTGAATGTTAAATGATAGTACGCAAATAATTCTAATGATTCATTGGGGTTTAACCATGTTTGTGCATAGTCTGCAGAACATTATAATACTAAAGACTGAGAGGGTTGAAGTTTAACCTTATTTTGGGTTTGTGTAAATTGTGAAAAAATATTAACTAGATGCAGCATGGGTTAAACGCTCACATCTTCATGAAGGGATCTTTTTCCAGGAAGTAGAATTATTCAAAGAGGCTCGTCAGGACTCTGGCAGCCGTTTGTCTGTTTCATTCACTCAGGAGCCTCTTGGGGGTGCTCTGGTGCCGCCAGCCTCTCCGCTCTCTCCATGCTGTGGAGCAGGTGAGGGCAGCAGCGAGGCACAGGGTCAGGGCTACGGGACGTTCGCATAGAGGAGGCGACGTGATTGAGTGTAAGAGGGATGGGAGCTTTCATGGCTGGCAACATAGAGGATTAGAGATGTTCATTCCAAAATCTTTCTTGCTGTGTAATACATTAAAAATCTGGACAAAATATCAGAGACAAAAATAAAACTATCAGTACTCAGTTTGGCAATCAGAAATTACCCTAACAGAAACCCTCAGATAGCAGGGCCCTTCTGGGAGCAAGGGTCCAGATGAGGCAGCCACTGCCTTGGACAGGTGGGAGGCCTCCCCCAGTCCTAGAACGAGCTGGAAAGATGGTGGGGGTGCAAAGGGAGAAAGCAAGAAACGGGTGTGGGCAGGAAGGGAGGAGGTTGGCCATGAGCTCTTCTGAACTCCAGCTTCTTCTCAGGTCTGGGAACCTCCGAGGTGAAGGTTCATTTTAAAGGGCCTGGTTGTGTTTCCAGTCTCCCTGGCAGAGATCAAAAGACGCTGAGCAACTTGAGAGCACGTGGGGCGGTGCACGTGCTCCCTGCAGTCATGCTGGGAGATGCCGAGTGTGAACACCTAGAAGGCCGTGTAGAGTTGTTCTTCAGGAACTGAGAAGGACTGTTGTACAAAAAAAGACCTTCCGCTGTTTTGTCTCCATGGATTCCGATGGAGAGTCGTTGTTCTTATCTCTTCTTTTGTATGAAATGTCTGTTTTCTCTGGTTGCTTTTCGTATTTTGTGTTATCTTTGGTTTTCTGCAGTTTCCCTAAGCTGGGCTCATGTATACAATGGTGGCACACCCCGCCCACCCCACCGTCCTCCTTGAAATTTATTTAAGCTGCTTGCATCTTTGGCTTGATTTTTGTTCCCCTACCAAATTTGGAAACTTTTGACTGCTGTTTTTTCCCCCTGCCTTGCTCTTTTTGTTCTTTTCTGGAAATACTATTATACATCTGTTACACTGTTAGTGAGTTTCCTTTTATGACTTTAATAGAAAGTCTTTCTTCTCCTTGTTAGTAGCTTGGTTAGTTTGTCTTGATCTGTTTGAAAGGTCAAGATGCTTTGCTTTGTTGGGCCTAATCTGTTGTTATATCCATCCAAGACATACTTTATTTTATATTTCTCACATCTCTTATTTCCATTTGGCTCTCATTTAATAGTTTTATATCTCTTCTGACAGTTCCTTTCTTCATCCTTTAAGTCTATCTTTTTTTTTTTTTTTTTTTTTTTTTTTTTTTGGATGGAGTCTTGCTCTGTCACCAGGCTGGAGTGCAGTGGCGTGATCTCAGCTCACTGCAACCTCTGACTCCTGGGTTCAGGTGATTCTCCTGCCTCAGCCTCCCGAGTAGCTAGGACTACAGGTGCCTGCCACCATGCCTGGCTAATTTTTGTATATTTAGTAGAGATGGGGTTTTACCATGTTGGCCAGGCTGGTCTCGAACTCCTGACCTCATGATCTGCCCGCCTCAGCCTCCCAAAGTGCTGGGATTACAGGTGTGAGCCACCGTGCCTGGCCAAATCTATCTTTTGCTGTACATTTTAAAACATATTTCTGATAGTTATGTTGAATTTCTTGTTTGCTAATTCTAACATCTGCCCACCTGTTGGTCTGCTGCTCTTTGCAGTTTTTTTCCCTTGATTATAGTCAGTTATTGGTTGTTGTCCTTCACATATGAGAATTTTTATTTCATTCTGGATTCTTTGGACGCTACATTGTATTGGCTCTGGGTTCTGCCTCCTCTGGAGAATGGGGAGTTTTCTTCTCACAGGCAGTTCAGTACCTGGCAGTCCTCCTTGATCCTGAGGTGGCTTGGTGCCAGGCTTTCTAATGATTTTTTATTTGCCCTTAGCCCTGGTTGTGGATCCTTAATTCTCAAGGATTTAGAATCTCTTCTGGGCGTCACTGGAAGCCTTGACATTCTCCTCCCCACCTCTAGTTGGTTGAGCTTGAGCCTCAGATGCTGTCCTGGCCCTGGGCAGCTGGGGAGCCCCTGCAGCCTTCCAGCGGTCCCTTTGTGCCGAGCGCAGGCTCTTCAGTGGTGCTTCAGTTTAGATTCAGCTGTAGATTTGCGGGTAGTCCGTCCGCATATTTCGTGGTTTTCCCTCTGTGGTTTCTTTCTCAGGCGGGCTTTCCCTCACATTCTGGTTGCTCTGGCAGGCCGGGACCCCAGCCCCTGCAGTGCAGGAAGGTGCGCCGTCTGTGGTTAAATGCGCGTCTTACCTGCAGGCTTCTCGGTGTCAGGGGTTGTGCTTGTTTTATTGCTGATTGCGTCAGCTGTTCTCCAGTGCCCTCAAGCAGTTTTAAAAAATATTTTATCCAGAGTTCATGATTATTATCAGCCAAGGGTTAGTCCAATGCACCCTAACTCCCCATTATCAGAACCAGAACTCTTGGCTCAATCTGGCTCTGAATTTTAAACTTTTAGGATGAAACCTGTCACTTCCAAGTTACCCAGACTTCGCTGCAAAACCCTAGGCTTTGATACTTCCTGAGCACCGGGGGGCTCCACAGTGTCCTCGGTTTCTTCCTGATTCCTTCCTCACATGCTCCGTTTAACAAAATAGCAAGTCAGTGCTATGAGAGCAGCTGGGGAGGAGGACCAGGGAGTTACAGACAGATCAGGGAAGTGCTATTTGTGCTGTAGGTGGGGAGTTCCCAGCTGCAGAGACTGGCAGTTTAGATGTTCACTGATTCATTGCAGTGTGTTTCCCAACTAATACTCTTTTATTTCTCTTACTTTTTAATACCTTGTTTAACCTCACTGTGGTTATTTAACCCTTGAATAGTTGAGGGTTGTTTTAATGGTACATGAGAGTCCTGTGTCATTTCTGGCCTGTCTAAAACACAGGTGCCTGTGGCCGCCACCACAGTGCCTGGTTAAGGCAGGGGGAATGCCTTTCTCCCTGCTCCTTCAAGCCCCTGTGACTGTTCGCTTGGGGCTGTAATGAAGTTTTCCTTAATGGACATTGATACTTGGCTAATTTAGTAGGCTCTCTGTCTGCTGAAACAGGCAAGTTATTTTACCCCCACGTATTTTCTCTGCATTAAACCGTGAAACTTGGCTTTGTCATTTTCTAACATGTTTTAGGAACTCATTGAAAAACACACATGTGAATGCGGGCTTTCTAGACTTGCATACTGCAGTTCACAGTAGAAGGCCATCACCCCTGTGTTCCTAGACTGTGTAAGCTAGCTGAGGGCACTTCCCAAATCTCCCAGGACCCTCTTGTCTGCCCAGGCTGCTGCACTGGCCGTTTGCCAGTGCTTGGCTGTGGAGTCCACTCACCCTTCGAGCCCAGGATTTGAAGACTGCAGCTCCAGTGAGGCCACCACGCCTGTCGCCGTGCAGCACATCCGCCCTGCCAGAGTGAAGAGGCGCAAGCAGTCGCCCGTTCCCGCTCTGCCGATCGTGGTGCAGCTCATGGAGATGGGATTTTCCAGAAGGAACATCGAGTTTGCCCTGAAGTCTCTCACTGGTGCTTCCGGGAATGCGTCCGGCTTGCCTGGTACTTCGTTTTCCTGGCCTCTGCTTGTACGTGTGTGGGTTCCCGCTTCAGGGCTGTTGACTCACAGTGGCTGCTGTGCTGTGTGTGCCTCTCTTAGGTGTGGAAGCCTTGGTCGGGTGGCTGCTGGACCACTCCGACATACAGGTCACGGAGCTCTCAGATGCAGACACGGTGTCCGACGAGTATTCTGACGAGGAGGTGGTGGAGGACGTGGATGATGCCGCCTACTCCATGGTCAGTGCCTCCCATGTGACCGCCCGCACCTGGGCCGCTGTCCGTCTAGCGCTCTAACAGTCTTACACCTTGGCTTTCTCTGTCCCTTGAAAGAATTAACTATATCTACTGTGGACTGTTTCATAAAACCAACCTATGGTGTTGCCGGGCACAGAACAAAGCTGTGTTTCACTACTGAAGGGATGATTGGGTTTCTATATCATAATTACTTTTAGCTTCAGAACAGACCCTTGTTCAAACATCTCATGATCTTCGCTAGCCATTAGAGGATATTTTATTAAAATACCATGTTTTGACACATCAGTTTCTGACCTGAGTAAATTGTTCATAGGATTAATTTGGAAGTGCCTTGGAAATTTTGTATACTTGTAGCTTTTGAGATTCATTTCTGCCTACTATGCTACTGCTATTAGTCTTTTTTAAATGAAGATTTTTATAGAGAAAATAAAGGATTTCATCCTTTACTTTTTAATATTATAGATTTCACAGACATTTCTTTTTGAGTAGATTTATTGAGTTCTCCTTTTTTTTTTTCTTTGAATGTATTTATTTCTTGTAGTCTACTGGTGCTGTTGTGACGGAGAGCCAGACGTACAAAAACCGAGCTGGTTTCTTGGGTAATGATGATTATGCTGTATATGTGAGAGAGAATATTCAGGTGAGTAATTGTCTTAAGCTGGAGCCTCGATCCGTTTTTCACTCAGCAAATATCTGGGTATGTCCTATATGCCAAACATCAGTGGACAGAGGCCCCTGCCCTCAGGGAGCCTGCCTTCTGGTGCTGGAAGACATACCTGACCAGTGAGCTCATGGTACACTAGAAGGTGCTGTGTACCCTGGAATGAGAGAGAGCAGACTACAGTAAAGGGGTAGGAGTGAGGGCACAGTCCAGGGATCGGGATCTGCAATGAGAAGGTGACATGGGTGCAAAGCCTACAGGGTGTGAAGGGTGGCTGAGCAGGATGGGCACCCAGACAGAGGCTGCTGTGGCTGCCCCGGTGTAGCCAGAGGACAGAGGGGCAGATGGGCTCAGGGGCAGCCGGAGAGCACAAGTGGCCTGTCCACGGTGGACATGGCGCAGAGATGGCTGTTTTCTACTAGCCCCACTTGTGACACTTCCTACATACCTTTCCTTGTTTTTCTTATGTAATTCTCATTGCCATCAAACTTTAAAAATCTAATTATGTTTTATATAGTCCTTTATCTACTTTAAATCATTTCTTGTCCTAATTCTCTTGTTTTAGTATATTTTAGAGAAAATCCCCCAAATCATCTCATTTCACCTGTATATATGTCAGTGAGTATCACTAATAAAGAATCTTAACATAATGACATTTCTGTTTACCAGCATTACCTAACAAAATAAATAATAATTCCTTAATATCATCTCATATCTAACGCTTGCTTGTAGTTTTCCAGTTTTCTCAGAAATGGCTTTAATGGTTAGTTTTTGAACTTGGATAAACCAAGATTGTATGCCTTATCTACATTTGGTTGATGGATCTTTGAAGTCTATTCCAAGCTAGAGTGGTTCCCCCTTGTCTTAGCTCAGTTGGCTATAACACAGTACCATAGACTGGCAGCTTCAACAACAGACATTTATTTCTCATGGTTCTGGAGGCTGGAAATCCAAGATCAAGGTACCAGCTTGGCTGGATTCTGGTGATGGCCCTCTTCCTGGCTTGTAGGTGGCTACCTTTTTTTTTTTTTTTTTTTTTTTTGAGACAGAGTCTCGCTCTGTCACCCAGGCTGGAGTGCAGTGGCGTGATCTCAGCTCACTACAAGCTCCGCCTCCCGGGTTCCTGCCATTCTCCTGCCTCAGCCTCCTGAGTAGCTGGGACTACAGGTGCCCGCCACCATGCTCAGCTAATTTTTTTGTATTTTTAGTAGAGACGGGGTTTCACCATGTTAGCCAGGATGGTCTCGATCTCCTGACCTCGTGATCTGCCCGCCTTGGCCTCCCAAAGTGTTGGAATTATAGGCATGAGCCACCGTGCCCGGCCAGGTGGCTGCCTTCTTGCTGTGTCCTCCTGTGGACGTGGGGCTGGGGATGGGGGGAGCTGGAGCTAGCAGGGGAGCACTGGTGTCTTTTTTTTTTTTTTTTTTTTTTTTTGAGACGGTGTTTCGCTCTTGTTGCCTAGGCTGGAACGCAGTGGCACGATCTTGGCTCACCACAACCTCTGCCTCCCGGGTTCAAGCGATTCTCCTGTCTCAGCCTCCCAAGTATCTGGGATTACAGACATGCACCACATGCCTGGTTAATTTTATATTTTTAGTAGAGACAGGGTTTATTCATGTTGGTCAGGCTGGTCTCGAACTCTTGACCTCAGGTGATCCACCTGCCTTGGCCTCCCAAAGTGCTGGGATTATAGGCGTGAGCCACCATGCCCATCCTGGAGTCTCTTCTTATAAAGACCCTAATCCTGTTGTGTCAGAGCCCCACTCTTATGACCTGATTTTACCTTAATGACTTCCTTAGAGGCCCCATCTCCTAATACTGCCACATTAGGAGTCGGGACTTCATGAATTTTGCGGGGGGGATACAAACATTCATTTCATAGTAACCCTCCTTCTCCCTTCCTCTCCTTTCATGCTATTTATTTGTGGCTGAAACCATGTCCTCCAAATGTCTTACAGTCTGCATTTGGAGGTGGCTTCCTTGTGGCTAACATCTTCCTCTCTCCCTGTTTCTCCAATGCAGTAGGAGTTAGGGTTGGAGGGTGATTGGACCAGGCTGAATCTCAGGCAGGAAGCTTCATAGGCATGTACTCCCTCCGGCCCCATCTCAACAGGCAAGCAGGTTTGGGTGGGTTAGGTCTTGTCAGCCTGCTCCTTCCTTGATGACATTCTGTATTAATTGTCCATCTCATAGCTCCAGCAGGCATTAGTGTCATCACCTAGACCTATCATTAGGGGCTGCACCATAGTGATTTTCTAACTTCATCTTCTCTGAGTTCATTAGCTGGAATTCTCTTCTGTGAAAAAAAGCTTTGTTATTAATCTTGGTTGCTCTTGATAATACAGGGAGACTTCACCAGTTTTCACAATGATGCATTGGTGTTCTGATATGTATAAAGATGACCAGGAAGCTTTGTTTTCCTTATTATCATGATGACCAATCCATTGGCTTTTAGGGTGTGATGTCTCCACTGTTATATTTTTGATGATCAGGGAATCCTTTTGAGTAATCTTTGAAAGCTCCCTTCCTTTATGATACAAGTTGATCCAGCCTCTTCCTGTATATTTCCTGCCTGAGACACAAAGCCAGACAGTGTTCTAAAGAGTTTCTCTTCCCTTTATCATTAAATAATACTTAGAATGCACTCTGGGTGCTAGATGAAATTCTTTTTTTTTTTTTTTTTTTTTTTTTTTTTTTTTTTTTTTTGAGATAGGGTCTTACTTTGTCACTCAGGCTGGAGTGCAGTGGTATGATCTTGGCTCATTGTAACCTCCACCTTCCAGGCTCAAGCAATCCTCTCAACTCAAGTCTCCCAAGTAGCTGGGACCACAGGCATGTGCCATCACATCTGGCTAATTTTTGTATTTTTGGTAGAGGTGGGTTTCGCCATGTTGCCCAGGTTTGTCTCAAACACCTGAGCTCAAGTGATCCTCCCACCTCAGCCTCCCAAAGTGCTAGGATTACAGATGTGAGCCACCGTGCCCAGTTGAAATTCTTTATTAAGAGTAGAGTAATACTACTTATCATGGCTCATTTCACCTGTGTACATGATGGACTGGATCTCCAATTTCATTTTAATTCTAGGTGGGAATGATGGTTAGATGCTGCCGAACATACGAAGAAGTGTGCGAAGGTGATGTGATGTTGGCAAAGTCATCAAGCTGGACAGAGATGGATTGCATGATCTCAATGTGCAGTGTGACTGGCAGCAGAAAGGGGGCATCTACTGGTTTAGGTACATTCATGTGGAACTTATAGGTGAGCACATTCTTTGTTTAGTGCTTTTACTTTTTCTTAGAGACAGAATTCCCATAAATGAATACTGATTATAATGATTTGTTATTGAAATCTGTAGGCTATCCTCCACCAAGAAGTTCTTCTCACATCAAGATTGGTGATAAAGTGCGGGTCAAAGCCTCTGTCACCACACCAAAATACAAATGGGGATCTGTGACTCATCAGAGTGTGGGGGTTGTGAAAGGTAATATCATCTGGGTAATTAAATTCCTGATGTTAACTTTTCATTAATGCATATGTACTTAGTATTTCTTTTTGTTCAAGCACACAAAACAGAAAACAAGTGTGAAGAAAGAGATAGAGTGTTCCTTTGCTTGTCAGTGCCTTCTGCCAAAGGCCACAAAGGAACTCACCTGCAGTGAAACAATCAGATTTATTAATATTAACTCATTGCAGTACAGGAGAACACACACCTTGGGGAATGGGTGTCTCCATCAGAGGGAGTGAGCGAGGACTAATGAAGTTTATGTTGGGTATTTGGGGGAGGGGTCGAGAAAGCAGGGGTAATCCTAAAACAGGATGTCTTAATAAATTTACCTAGCAGGCAGAAAGAATGGAGCCATGCTAACGTCATGATTGGTAAGGAAGCAGTCATTCATATCACCAGGATAGGGGACTGTGTGGTTGTTTGTGGTTTGGATTAGACTCAACTTTAATCACACATGGTTAAGGAGGGGTTTTGGTTGTGCCTTGATTCATCAGTCACAGAGTGGCCTTATCTGATGTTCGTGTTCTGTAAACTTGTCCTGTCATTTGTTCTGTGAAATGGCCTAACATTGACATTAACAGGCCAGCTCCTGACTGTCAGGACTGCTTTTTCTTTCTCCTCCCCTGATCCTCAGGCTGGAGTGCAGTGGCGCCATCTTGGCTCACTGCAACCTCCGCCCCCGGGTTTAAGCAGTTCTCCAGTCTCAGCCTCCAGAGTAGCTGGGATTACAGGTGCCCACCACCGTGCCTGGCTAATTTTTGTATTTTTCATAGAGATGGCGTTTCCCCATGTTGGCCAGGCTGGTCTCGAACTCCTTACCTATTGATCCGCCCACCTCGGCCTCCCAAAGTGTTGGGATTACAGGCGTGAGCCACCATGCCTGGCTCTTTTTCATGCTGTATAAAAATTTAGGACTGAATTTAAGAAATGGAAATGTGCTAATGATGGAAATTAGGAACTGGAAACAATTCTCAGATTATATTTAATATGATACTGTTGAGATTCCAAATCAAATCCGTGGCACACTTTGAAAGGCACACTATGTCCGTTTTAACAGTTGCATGAGAAATAAGTATGTGTATAGTTTTATAAACTCTTGATGCATAAAGAGATTATTTGTTTGTTCGTTTGAACCTTGTGGAAGCCTCTCTTTTCATCAGATCGCTTAGAAAATGGCCACAGTTGGTGGTTCCCCAGTGGTGAGAGGTTCCTAGAGCTTCTCATGTTACATAAGAACAAGTGGATTATTTAATATTTTACTTTAAACATTTTTCTTTGCTTAAGAGATTGTTAAAATATTTGCAAATCAAAACAAGACAAATTTTAAAAATAAGAATTTGGTTTCTTTGTTTTGAGTGACACGTTGCTCTTATCAAAGGATGAAAGAAGTCTTCATGTTATTAATGTGGTTTTTATTCCCTGAGATACCAAAGGTATTGTATGGAATTGTTGACTTGGTGTAATTAGAAACCAAAATGTCCTATTTTAAACCTAATGCAAAAGTAAGGAATGTAGTTTACAATGAACCTCCATGTGCTCATTACCTGGCTTTAACGATTGTCGCCTCATGGCCAAAATTATTCATGCTCCCTTCTTGTGATTATTTTGAAACCAGGCGCTGACATCATGTATTAGTTCATCCATAAGCATTTTAGTACCTATCTCTAAAAGATAGACTCTTTGTAAAAAACAAATAACTACAATGTAGTATGACATGGCTAGGTGCAGTTTTAAGTTCAGGTTTTTATTGGTGAAGAGGAAGATGGATCAGGTGATTTTTGTTGTGTCCTGGCTTTCAGTGCCAATGGAAAAGATATCATTGTTGACTTTCCCCAGCAGTCTCACTGGACTGGGTTGCTATCAGAAATGGAGTTGGTGCCCAGTATTCATCCTGGGGTTACGTGAGTTATTTTTATGATTGCTAGATTTGCTTTGGGACGAATGGTTTTCTGTTGAATTAAGTTTAATAAATGACCTTTCTTAACTCAGTTGCTATTTTACAAATAGGTGTGATGGATGTCAGATGTTTCCTATCAATGGATCCAGATTCAAATGCAGAAACTGTGATGACTTTGATTTTTGTGAAACGTGTTTCAAGACCAAAAAACACAATACCAGGCATACATTTGGCAGAATAAATGAACCAGGTATGGCAGAATGTTTATATTCTCTCTTCCACCAAATATTAATGAAATACTTATTGTGGACCACAGTGTACTGGAATTTGTTATTTTAAGGTTCCTTTGCATATGGTAATTCTGTAGAGTGAGTACAGTGAGACGGAAGTGACGGTCCTACCCGCTGATGACTGGCTGGCTTTTTAAAAAAATCAGGATGGGGTATCGGGGAAGAATTAGAATAACTAGGCTTGTTTGCTTGTTTTTCCATAAAGAAACATTAAAAGAATCTCAAGAAACTAGTAAGTGTTTAGTTGCGTGGCATGTGGAATTGGTTAGATGGAGAGTGAGTGTTTTAATTTGTATACCTTTTATTATATTTTTCATTGTGGCAAAATATATTTAACTTAAAATTAGCCACTTAGTCATTTTCTAAGTTTATAATTCAGGGTATTAAGTACCTTAAGTACAGTGTTGCACAACCATCACAACTTTCTCTTACCAAAACTTTTCACCACTCCGATCAGAAACTCTGTACCCATTAAGCAATTTAACTGCCCTACTTCCCCTTACCCCAACCCTGGTAACCTTGAATCTAACTTTGGTCTCTACGAATATGACCACTCCAGACATCTCATCTAGATGGAACCATGTAAGATTTATCCTTTTGTGTTTAGCATAATGTCTTCAAGCTTCATCCGTATTGTAGCATGTGTCAGAACGTCATCCTTTTTAATGGCTGAATAATATTCCACTGTATGCATATATCACTTTTCTTCTTTGTGAGATAGAGTCTCACTCTGTTGCCCAGGCTGGAGTGCAGTGGCGCAATCTTGGCTCACTGCAACCTCCGCCTCCTGGGTTCAAGCAGTTCTCCTGTCTCAGCCTGCTGAGCAGCTGGGATTACAGGCCGGTGCCACCATGCTCAGCTAACTTTTCTACTTTTTTTTTTTAATTATTATTTTTTTGAGACAGAGTCTCACTCTGTCTATAAGGAGTGTATGTGTTATATACATTTTTAGTTTTAGTAGTTACTGAAGATATTAATTATAACATCTATTTTTGACTGATTTAAATCTATTATTATTTAGTAAAGTCTCCTCCTAAACAATGCAAAGACCTTAGTTCTCTTTAACATCATTTATCTTCATTCTGATTTATATGTTCTTAACATATTTTAATTTTTAATTTTTTTTTTTTTGAGACGGAGTCTCACTCTGTCGCCCCGGCTGGAGTGCAGTGGCGCGATCCTGGCTCACTGCAACTGACACCTCCCGGGCTCAAGCGATTCTCCTGCATCAGCCTCCTGAGTAGCTGGGATTATAGGCTCCTGCCACCACGCCTGGCTAATTTTTGTATTTTTAGTGGAGGTGAGATTTCACCATGCTGGCCAGGCTGCTCTTGAACTCCTGACCTCAGGCGATCCACCCACCTCAGTCTCCCAAAGTGCTGGGGTTATGTGCATGAGCCACCACGTCCAGCCAAAATTTTATACATTTTATACAAATATATATCTAACAGAACTATCGAAGACATTCTTTTATGCACATAGAAAATGTTCATAAAATCCAGTCATATGCTAAGTGGGTCATATGCTCAAACAAAATTTCAAAAAAAGTCAAAGGATCAGCCAGGCGCAGTGACTCATGCCTGTTTTTGTTTTTGTTTTTGTTTTTGTTTTTTGAGACAGAGTCTCGCTCTGTCACCCAGGCTGGAGTGCAGTGGCACGTGATCTCAGCTCACTGCAAGCTCCGCCTCCTGGGTTCTCGCCATTCCTCCCGCCTCAGCCTCCCGAGTAGCTGGGACTACAGACGCATGCCACCATGCCAAGCTAATTTTTCGTATTTTTAATAGAGATGGGGCTTCACCGTGTTAGCCAAGATGGTCTCGATCTCCTGACCTCATGATCCATGCCTGTAATCCCAGCACTTTGGGAGGCCGAGGCAGGTGAATCAGGAGTTCAGGAGATCGAGACCATCCTGGCTAACGCGGTGAAACCCTGTCTCTACTAAAAGTACAAAAAATTAGCCGGTGTGTTGGCGGGCACCTGTAGTCCCAACTACTTGGGAGGCTGAGGCGGGAGAATGGCGTGAACCCAGGAGGCGGAGCTTGCAGTGAGCCGAGATCGTGCCACTGCACTCCAGCCTGGGCGACAGAACAAGACTACGTCTCAAAAAACAAAAAAAGCAAAAAAACAAGTCAAAGGATCAAACAATACATGCAGGGCATATGACGATTTTATGTAGTCAATATTCATTTAGATTTTTCTGCATACTTTGTAATTTCTCTCCACTTTTTTCTTCCTCTTTAATTTTCCATCTGTACTGTTTTTCTCCTGCCTGAAAATCCCCTTAATATTTTTAAAAATGTGTCTTTGTTGGTTACAAATTATCTATTTTTGTATGTCTGAAAATGTCTTTATTTCTCCTTTATTTTTGAAAAGTCTTTTTGCTAGGTGTTTTCTTTCAGCACTTTAAAAATAGTATTCCATTGCAATTTGGTTTATATTATTTCTCCTGAAGTTGGATGGAAGTCTAATTGTGGTTCATTTTATTTTTCCTTCGTCTGCTTTTCAGAGAGTCTTTTTGTTTTCATCTTGCACAGGTTTTACATGTGCATGGAGATGTTTATCTTTCTTGGGGTTGGTAGGGCTTCTGGGGCATGATATCTGTTGTCTGTTTTGGAAAATTCTGTCTTTCAGTATTTCTTCACATTTTGCCTCTGCTCTATTCTCTTTTCTATCTTTTTGGGGGGACTCTTCTTCCACTTGTGTTAGGCCTAACCTCTGTCCTGCAGATCTTTTACCTTCTTGTTATGTTTTCTAAACTTTTGCTCCTCAGTTCTTCATTCCAGATATTTTTACTTTCTCTTCAGCTGAGTTCAGTGTGTTCTAAACTTACTCATTAAGTTCTTAATTTTAAATATTGGATTTATCAGTTCTAGTCTTTCTATTTTATTTTCAGTAGTTTTTGGTTCTCTGCTGAAATATTATCTTTTTGAACACAGTAAGCATATTTATTATACTAAAGTCTGTGTCTTCTGACTCCAATATATGGAGCCCTTGTGGGTCTGTTTCTCTCCTATCATTTCTGGTCATTTTTAGTCACTTTTTTTGCCTCTTCATGTGTCATTATGTACTGGACACCTAACAAATAAAGAGAAACACTATGTTCATGGGTTAGAAGACTGAATACTGTGAATCCATCCTTGCACATTGACTTACAGAATTAATGCAATCCACATCAAAATCCCAAGCAAGCGGTTTTATAAAAACTGACAAGCTCATTTTAAGTCATATGGAAATGCAAAGGGCCTGCAACAGCCAAAATATATTTGAAAAAGAACAAAGCTAAAAAACTGTTGCAACCTGAGTTCAGGCCTTTTATAAAGCTGTAGTAATCAAGACAATGTGGCATTGCCACCAAAATACACAAATAAATCAATGAAACAGTACTGGGAGTCCAGAAATAGATCCATACATCCATAGACAACTGATTTCTGACAAAGGCAAAAGGCAATTCAGTAGGAAAAGCGTAGTTTTTCAACAAATACAACTGAAACAACTGGACAATCATGCCCAAAAAAGCCTTTCAATCTGAACCTCCCACTATATATAAAATTTAATCAACTGGTCATAGATATACCTGTCTAAAACTATAAAACTTCTATAACAGAACATAGAAAGACAAACTTTATAATCTTGAGGCAAAGGTTTTGTAGTCACAACATCAAAAGTACACTCTACAAAAGAATAAAATGAATAAACTAGGCTTCATCAAAATTAAAAACTTCTAATCTTTAAGATTCACCTGTGAAGAGAATAAAATGACAAGCCACACTGACAGAAAATACTAGCAAATTCTATATTAGGCAAAGGACTTGTAACTCAGAATATATAAGGAACTCTCAAACCAGTAAGAAAACAACCTATTTAAATATGGGAAAAGACTTGAACAGACATTCACCAAAAAAGGTATGTGATTTGTAAATAAGCAAGATGCTTGAGATCATTAGTTATTAGGGAAATGCAGATTAAAACCACAACGAGATACCACTATACATCTGTCAGTATAACTAAAATTAAAGACTGAATGTATCAAGGGTTGACAAAAATGTGGAGGATGTGGACCTCTGGAACATCCACTTTGCAAAACAGTATGTAGCGATCTTAAGAAGCTAGACATACACCTACCATATGATCCAACCACTCCTCTCTTAGAAGTTTACCCAAGAGAATTTCAAGTGGATGTCCATACACAAACTTGTATGGAAATGTCCATTAGCAATTTCACTTGCATAGTCAAAAACTGGAAACAGCCCAAACATTCATCAACAGAAAAATGGATGAACAAATTGCATTTGTTTATCTTAAGATACTATTCAACAATTTAAAAGAATAAACTATTGATACATGCAACGTAAGTGAATCTCAAAATTATTATGCTGAGTGGAAAAAGTAAGATTTTTAAAAAGAGTATATGCTGTATGATTCTACTTATAGTAAGCTGTAAAACATGCAAACTGGCCTGCCACAGTGGCTCCTGCCCATAATCCCAGCACTTTGGGAGGCCGAGGTGGGAGGATCACTTGAGCTCAGGAGTTCCAGACCAACCTGAGCAACATGGCAAAACCATGTCTCCACCAAACAAACAAAAATTAGCCAGGCATGGTGACATGTGCCTGTAGTCCCAGCTATTTGGGAGGCTAAGGTGGGAGGATCACTTGAGCCCAGGAGGTGGAAGCTGCAGTGAGCCAAGATCGTGCCACTGCACTCCAGCCTGGGCAACAGAGTGAGACCCGGTCTACAAAAAAAAAGAAAACAAACAAATAAAACACCCACGAAACAACAACAACAAAAAGCAGACATGCAAACTGATCTCTAGTGACAGAAATTAAATTGGTGCATACGGCAGGAAGGAGGGAGGTAAAAGCAAAAGGGAGGGGTACAGAGGGCCAGAGAGGAACGCTGGGGTAGTGTATGAGTTCATTATCTTTGATTGTGCTGATGCTTTCATGGATCATACGTATTCCAAAGTCGATCAAAATGCATACTTTAAATAGGTGCAGTTTATTATATGTCAATTATAACTGAATAAAGCTGTTAAAAAATACAAAAGAGCCCAGTACAGTGCCTGTAGCTCTCAGGCAGTTATTAGGAGTCCTGTTCACACACAAGGACAGCGCTGTGAGTTTACCTGATCATAAACACAAGAATCAGCAACATACTTTCTTCTAAAACTTTCATTCCAGCAGCATAAATCGCATGAGAGCACACCATAATTCTTCTGTGTCTTTAGATTCATAATGTAGTTAACGCAGCACTACAACCTCTAATGTGTTGGCACAATTAAATAAATGTAAAGTTGCTGTAACCTACAGAAAAATCTCAGGATACAAATCTGTGTTACCTAAATAGGAAGCACCTAAAGGGTCTCTTGCAGTCTGGAAGAGGACGGGCTCGTGGACAGAGGGCGTGGCCACATCCACAGTTGTCCACGCCACACTGTGGGACGACCCGCAAGCCACACACATGATCTTCTGGCCTTCTAAGCCTTGCACGAGCGTGGGCTTCCTGTTAACCGTGGTCGTGCCATTGCCCTGCTGGCCGTGGTCATTGTCACCCCAAGCATACACCTGTTTACGAGGAGAAAAAAGCTTATAATTTTTCAACATTTCAGGACATTTTCTTTAATGTAATTTTTACTTCAAAATGCTTAACGTGTATGCCATGGTATTTGAAAGAATTGAGTTCTTAAAAGTAAAAGCAAACCATTTCACAATCTTACAAAATGGCATCGGTGTACTATAATTCTGAAGAAAATCTAACCATGAAAATGCCAATAACCATAAAAGGAGTATTTTCTTAATATTAATCAAATTAATTCTGCTTTGTTGCAAGTCACACAGAAGGTCCTCTCTTCAACTAAGTGCAATAATTTTTTCCCTTTTACTTTGCAAAGAAAAATGACCAAAAACAATATGCTCATTTTTCAAGTAAGTAGCTCCTTGGCCTTATAGAATTATAAAGTATAATTCATTTTGACTAAAAAACAGTAATGGTAATTTTGTTTTCATAAATAAAATTTTAAATTGAATATCCACAAGCCGGTCATAGCATATGCTTCTCCAAGCAGAAGAGAGTGTAACACTTGTCAGGCACTAGCTCTGTCTCTAAAATGAGGCATGGGTGCCTCCTCACCAGTTAGCAATTTCCTAAAGCAAAGTCTTGTTAATACCTTGCAGTAGGAGCATCTTCAAGAATAACAATCTTTTGGCCGGGTGCGGTGGCTCACGCCTGTAATCCCAGCACTTTGGGAGGCCGAGGCAGGTGGATCACGAGGTCAGGAGATCGAGACCACGGTGAAACCCCGTCTCTACTAAAAATACAAAAAATTAGCCGGGCGTAGTGGCGGGCGCCTGTAGTCCCAGCTACTCGGGAGGCTGAGGCAGGAGAATGGCATGAACCCAGGAGGCAGAACTTGCAGTGAGCCGAGATTGCGCCACTGCACTCCAGCCTGGGCGACAGAGCGAGACTCTGTCTCAAAAAAAAAAAAAAAGGATAACAATCTTTCCACACACTTTTCACGTGGACTTCAGAGTGGGAACGCCTCTTTTCTGAGGACCCCACCCCCAACCCCTGCTGCTGAGCAGGCAGATACACCAGCGGGCAAAACGGATGGGTCCCGGCCTCATGGTTCTTCAAGCAGTAAGACTCGGCTGAGTTCATCAACAGCTGTGATTTCAACAGGACGAGGGCCATGTCGTGACCCCCACGTCCCCCAAGTCAGGATGGCACGCCACCCCCAGGCCACCTGCAGCCTTACCTGCCCCGAGTCCGTGACCGCCAGGCAGTGCAGGGCCCCGACAGCCACATGCACGATCTTCTTCCCTCTCAGCCCTTCCACCACCTACAGTTTCCACACGTGCACGTCAGAGCCCTGGCGCAACCTGAAGTAATCCCCCTTTCCCCTGAGAAGGAGGCCCGTGGTGGAGTGTTACAATATAGTTGTGGTCTGACAATGCTATACAAGAAGACACTCATTGTCTCACATCTTTCACAGCCAGCTCAATGACATCACACACAGCACCCAAGGTCTTCGAACTTGTATTCAAAATCATACACCATTAATTCAAATTAACTTATTAAGTCAGCTGGGAAAAACCTTAATACCTTAATACATGTTCTACAATATTTAAGTTACTGTTGTAGGTTTTCATATAGACTGAAAATAAGACACATTACTGCAAACACCTATCCAAAGTCCTATCTGGTATACATCTTTCTCAGAGTGCCAATGTCGGCCAGTAGCAGTGGTTCACGCCTGTAATCCCAGCACTTTGGGAGGCCGAGGCGGGTGGATCACAAGGTCAGGAGATCGAGACCATCCTGGCTAACATGGTGAAACCCTATCTCTACTAAAAACACAAAAAAATTAGCCGGGCATGGTGGCAGACGCCTGTAGTCCCAGCTACTCGGGAGGCTGAGGCAGGAGAATGGCGTGAACCCGGGAGACGGAGCTTGCAGTGAGCTGAGATTGTGCCACTGCATTCCAGCCTGGGCGACAGAGCGAGACTCCATCTCAAATAAATAAATAAATAAATAAATAAATAAATAAATAAATAAATAAATAGTGCCAATGTTATGACCAGAGGCAGCAAGGCCTGACACAGCATCCAAGGCCAGTCTGGGCACCTGCTCATTTGCACATTAATATAATAAGCTTTTACAAGAAATACATGTTAACTTTCTCAGGATCAAAGGATTCAGAAGGCTATTTTGCTCTCATTTTATCCTTAGGCTTCAGCAGAAGAAACACTTCCTATAAATCTCGCCCAAACAGGAAAGGTAAGTGGCCTAAAATTTTTCTAGTATTTTCAAAATGACCCAGTTACAATAGGAAATTTCTTCTTGTACTATTGTCACTAATCCCGACTCAATATCCTTTAAAGGACAAAGATGCATGCATAAGTAAAAATATGACAGGTCACAATCACGCCGGGGTGGTCCTGGGGCGAGGCCCAAGTTCCCTGCACGCGCCGGCACAAGCACACACACTGTGACGGGGAGGACGTTTACGTACCATGTCCACACCACTCCAGACTTGGTGAGCGCCAGTAGGAACTGAGCTCCACACTCAATCTGGCACACCCCCTGTCCATTTAGTCTCTCAATGTTCTGGGGAATGTTGCAGCCTTCACTTCCGCCCCGGCCCAATTTTCCAAAGTCACCATCACCCCAGGAAAATACCAAACCTAGGTTTAAAAATAGGGAAGGGAAGGGAAGGGAAGGGAAGGGAGAGAAGAAAGGAAAGATAAAGAAAGCCCAACCTCCTTCCAAAATGTCATGAGAATCTTGAGCACATATGGTCCTTGGCATGACCACATGACCTGCAGAGCCCCTGTTATAGAACTCATTTTTATATTTTCCTTAGTATAACAGTTAATATAATATGTCATTTTTGTTAATAGTGTCTTTTTGTCATTTTACTTTTTAAAAGATTTTATTGAAATATACATACAGGAAAGTGCATCTATCATAAGTGTGCAAATTGATGAATTCTAAAATCTTTATTGTACCTGTTTAGCACCTAGATTGACACTGAACATAACTAACAACCAGAAATCTCCGTGTACTCCCTTCCTGTAACTACCCCTGCGCCCGACCAAATCACTCTCTTCTAACAGCATAACTTTGTGTGACTAGCTTTTTTAATGTAAAAGAATGAAATCTACAGCATGTATTCATTTGCATCTGGCTTCTGCCACCCAACATTATATTTGTGGGATTCGTTTGTACAGTTGCATATTAGTTTGCAGATCCCTCACTCTCATTTCTATATGGTATTATATTGCATAAACGTACCACACTTTATCCAACTACTGTTAAATATTTGTGCATTTTCTACTTGGGGGTGATTTCAAATAGTGCTGCTATGAACATTCTTGTAAATGTCTTTTGGTGAACATATGCAACACATATATGCGTTGTTGTTGGTTCCCAGGAGGGGCATTCCTGGGTCATAAACAATGCGTGTGTTCAGGTTTAGTACAGTATAATGCCAAACAGGTTTCCAAAGTGTTTGTGCCACTTTACATACCTGCCATTATTGAAAAAGAGTTCTGTTTGCTCCACATTGTCACCAATACTTGATATTTTCTGTTTTTTTTTTCTTTTAAACCGTACTAGTGGGTGTGCAGTGATATTGCAATGTGGTTTTAATTTGCATCTTCCTTGTGACAACCTTGATTACTGTAAGCCACTTGGAAATGTGATTTAAATTCATATAAAGATATAGTAGCAAAACGCATACTAGGTTACTTTCGTATCCAGAAAGTTTAGATAGAATGATTTCTATGTAAGCTTTTACTGTGTAGTCTGAGTCCATGAATATTGATTACAAAAAACACATCTGTAGGTGAGTTACAATACCTCACTTATAATTCAAAATTCATGTGTTAGCTCAATATTTTTCAAATAATTTTTGCATGCAATTTTCACCTTCTTTCTGAGTAGTTTCAGGTATTTTGTATGGTTCCAGCAGTCAGTTAGGTTGCCATTGTTTGGAAGCACACATCCACGTATCTGCACCATGATGATATGGCACGCCCATACCCCTCATTTCACATTTTGTCAGAAGTGCATAGTTATCACTAACTTTGCCAGTAGAAATGTACTCCCAATTTCCCACGGACTTATCTTGAATAATCTCTCCACTGAAGCATAACAGGTTTTGAATTCTGTTAGAATAGTTGTTTTTACTATCTTTTAATTTTATACAAATTTCAAAGTTACGTAATACTTTTATTTAAAAAGTGAAACAAAGCTTTTCCTCTCCCTTACCCACATGTTAGTCCAGCAGAAGGGGAAAGCATTGGCCCCAGGCCAAAATCATAAACGCTTTCAATTAACTAATAATAATTGCTGGCATGTTGCCATTAAATATCCTTGTCTCATTATCTCTGGTTGCTTTATCAAACCCATAGGTCACTGAAGCCCACTTTTGAGACAAAGACTATTTCTCCCCCAAAAGTCAAGGGAAATATAAAAAATGAAATTAGTGATTAAGAATAGAAGTCAATTAATACAATCATTTTGTCTTAATTATTTAAAGTCCAGTTTTTTTCCTGCAGCAAACCTGAAAATACACTATCCTCCAGCTATCAGAATTATATTGAGATCTACTCACATTTATGATGATGTTCAGAGATTCTCATTGGGAAGGAAAAGGCACACGCTGCGGTGGTCTTGCATGACTCTGTTGTTGTGGAAATTCAATTTGTTCATTGTGTTTTGGGCTCCCTGGGTGGTCAGGGCTGGGCTCTGGGTCCTTGGCAATTCCTCAGGTTCCCAGCACTCCAAAGCCAAGCTCACCTCCTCATCACACGCCCTGCAGGAGAAGCATTAGGGTGTCCGACTACGTGGGTTTCATAGCTGTGGAAAAGCCAAAGGGGAGACTCCTGAAGAAAGGCGGTGAAGACTGTGAAGAGCGGGTCAGGAAGATGAGCACAGCACTGCTACTCCTGTGGGCACAGGGACAGCATGTCTCCAGCCAGTGCCACCTTGTTTAATACATGGGAACTCACTGAAATTCATTCTGTATTTTGCCCGCAAAGTTTTAAAGATTTCATCCACAGTCAGGAATTAAACTTATACCAATGAGAGCCTCACACATTCAAGGATGTACTAAGCACTACAGGCCTCACAGAAACAGAGATCCCATCTTGGAGTTTTCAGTCCCACATGGGAGATAAAGGGTTTTGAACATGAAATGACAAAAACAACAGCAAGAAGAAAATTCTCGTCCTTTTTCATTACTATCAGACTCAAATAAATGTCTTGGCTCTTACATTACATTCATTCTTCAACCATTGTGGTCTGGCTTCCACTTCCTTCACTTCACCAACATGGCTCTGCCAAAGGAAGCCCGTGATCTCTAGGCCATCACTTTAATTGATCTCTCTACAACATTTATCCTGGTCGTTAAGCCCTCCTTACAACATTCTTTTCTCTGTTTTTATAGCTCCATCTCTCCTGCTTCTTTAACTTGATAATGCATACTTGATTTTTCTATTTGTTATTTCATAAACCAATTAATATACAGATAAAATGACTGTATATCAAACCATGTTTGTATAGAAAAAATGGATTTTGGATGCCTCTCATATGTAATTAGTTCTATTAAACATATTAATTGTATTGTTTAATTTGTCAGGTTTTTGACAGAATTTTGTTTACAAGTAATAAAAATTTTATCTCCAATTTTCAATAATTACACCCATTATTTCTGTTTTATGTCTCATTGCATTGATGAGATCTTGCAGAATAATTTTAAAACAGTAGTGGGTATTTTCTACTTTTAATGGGTATGTCTAGTATTTCATATATTGTTGCTTATAGAACACTATTCAACCAAGACATGTCAAGACTAGTTGTCTCTCAAACCATTAGTATTTATATTATTCCTTTCCAGCTACACTTGTAGGATGTAAAAGACCATTTCCAGGAATATGGAACTGTTTTACTAGGTGGAGGGTATATATAACCATACAATAGTCACAGAAACTACATTAATACTCACATAAATCAAAGCATAAATGACATAGAATCTTGGCAGATTTGCTTAAGGTTAAATGTATAACTCTTATCAGCAGGAGGTGAAAGAATATATTCTTAGATACTTGGCACATTTAGAAAATATAATCTAATATTCTTTTTAAAGAATAGGCCGGGCACGGTGGCTCACACCTGTAATCCCAGCACTTTGGGAGGCCAAGGCGGACGGATCACGAGGTCAGGAGATCGAGACCATCCTGGATAACACAGTGAAACCCCGTCTCTACCAAAAATACAAAAAATTAGCTGGGCGCGGTGGCGGGCGCCTGTAGTCCCAGCTACTCAGGAGGCTGAGGCAGGAGAACGGCGTGAACCCAGGAGGTGGAGCTTGCAGTGAGCCGAGATCGCGCCACTGCACTCCAGCCTGGGCGAAAGAGCGAGACTCTGTCTCAAAAAAAAAAAAGAATAAATAAAACATCATCTACAAGGGAATTACTTGAAATTAAAACAAATGGTAGTCATATATATGGTACTTCATTATTAGGAAGGTGACTAAAAGCCCATTTAGACATATTCTGCTTTTCTTAAGGAATAATGATCGTTTCATGTTAGGTTATAGCCAGCACAGCACCTCGTGGGGTCATCAGAGGCCTGTGCTATCATTCTCACTAGGAGGGATGGTTAACCCATGTGTTCTAGGACCACAAACTATGCCCCAATCTACTCATCCATCTAGAAAAAAAGGCATGCTTTTAGTTCAACAATTCCAAAGCATCAGTTGGAGGACCAGTGTTGGCTGCATCAGAATCACCTGGGTGTTTGTAATAAATACAGAATCCTGAGCAGGTATTCTGGCATTTCTGTTCATACAGAATCTCCAGGGTCAGGGCCAAGTATGTCTGATGTGTAGCAACAGACGGAAACCATCACTTTAGTTAGCAGAAGGAAGGCACTGAGCAGAGGGTTGAATATAATACATTGGAAAAATATCTTAAAGAATTGGGAAAAAGTAATATATGTGAATATCACATCATCATTATAATAGGAAAAGACAAGGTCCTCAACATTGTCAAAGGTATAAATTCCTAAAACAGGTCAAATTCGTGTTCTCAAAACATTTTCCTGAAAAATGTTACTAGGTGGTATAGGGATAAATAGGTTTGCAAAGTACTGTACCCTCTATATATCTTGTCTCAGAAATTCAGAAAGTGTTAAAGACTCTGAGAAGTCCTGCAGGCAACTTCTTATATTTAATGCAGTATATCTCAAACTCACTTGAGCACACAATACTTTTTTCCCCCGAGGCATATCTATTAAGGTCCTATAGAACAATATTCTTAGGCATACCATTTAGAGATACAATTCTAAAATGATTTTATCAAATATTCTATTTCATGGCAAAGTTTTTCCCTATATATTGACATATTCCAACACTTAGTGTTCCTTTTTGCAATATAAATCTTTTCAAGAGGAAATTATAAGCATTGATTAAATGCATCTTAAATTCAAAACCTTAAATAATATTCATCCCAGTATAATTCTTATTGAAATCTATACTTCAAATTGAGTTAGTCCTATAATTTTTCACTTCTAATTAAACCAATTAAAGCAGGGTATGTCTACTGACCTACTTTCCAGAATTTAAAAAATAAACTAGGAAAAAACATCTTCTGAGCTGTGGGATGTTTCCAGAGCTTCATTAAAATAACTTGAAATTTTCATTTGGGTACAATTTTTGCTTATTTTATGGTTCAAATATGCAGCACAAAAGATGACTGGAAGAGGATTATTGAAGCAAATTTAATAAAAGCAGAGTCTATATGAGGCAGTGCTGCTTCATTGCTGCTTTTTCTGCTTTGAGGATGGCAAACTAGAAAAGCCCTTAGATTAAGTTTTTACTTTACCTAAGACAGCATTAAAGCTGATTAAAAGGTTCCACTGAAATGGCAAAATGGCCATATCTCTAATAAGCGCCAGTATAAAACTTAATCTTAAATTGGGCAGTCCTGGGGAAAAGAATTAGATTTAATTTATACCAATTTGAATTATAGAAGTCAGACTCATAGCAGCCATTGGCTACTTATTCTGTGTGCTAAACTAAATCTCAACTCAGTCCCAGGAGGACACATTTCCTACTACAGGGCAACCCTTTTCTGCCCAGTGATCTTAGGTTCGATTATCTATGAAGGGTAGACCATGTGGTAGTAACATATTTTCCAGGGAACAAAACAAATCAGTTTTAATAGTGATCAAACCCCACCCAGCCTCTTTATGTGTTAATACCCAACTTACAAAACCGTATGTTAAGCTGTACAATTCCTCCACTGGAAATTTAAGCGCACATTATTATGAGTTCCTTATTTCCTGATAAGTCCCAATGGTTACAAAATTACTCAGTTTCTTTGAAGAATCAGTAAGCCACCACCCATGGGCACTCAATACTGATTGTCATTTTTAACAAATTGTGGGAAATAAGCTTTAAAACTGGGTCACTACCCCTAAAAGTATGCAGTTTAGTTATAATATATCAATACTGATTTGTTAGTTGTGACAAATATACCATAATCATGTAAGATGTTAGCAACAAGGGAAACTGGGTGCCTGTGTGGTACACAGAAACTCTCTATACCACCTTTGCAACTGTTTTCTAAATATAAAACTATGCTAATATTTTTTTAAATTTAAAAATTAAAAGTAGGTCACCAGAAATTTCCTACCCACATAATATAGTCTCATTTTGAATGTAGGCAAAGGAGGATTCTCAATTCTAGGACTGTCTCTCTAAAAAAGTAAAAAGCTGGTAATTTGATAAGATTACTGCAAGAGAAGCATGACTAAGTAGGCATATATCAACAGTCAATATGGTACCTTTATTACCTAAGAAAAACAAGGCAAAAATTTATCTTGGAAAACTGGATTGCAGAGAACCCTATCTTCTAATTTAATCATCACACACTTATATAGCTCATGTTACACACACAGTACGGTAATATTTATTTGCTGAAAAGCAGAATACAAAAGCATTAGATACTCCCCATCCACCTATGAGTTCACCATCTAGTTAAGTACACGTCACTGCCAAGAAGCTTAAAATGATAGTATTGTCCCTGATTTCTAAGAGCACACATACGCTGACGGGCAACTCTCATGCCAACCTCAAAGGAAGGTAGAATGGATAACAGCATTAAGTCTACAAATACTGTGCTGTGAACACTGTAGCTAAGACCATTCTGGAATAAACAGTGTATCATCTTTAATGTATAGTATCCTATCCCAAAAGTGATATCAAAATGTCTTTAGTAAAATAAGTTCTGTTCTTCTTCATTCTTTCATTCAGCACCTACTGTCTGCCAAGTGTTGCTGTATATGCTGAGCACACTAACAGCACTAACAAAAATACCCTGCTCTAATAGAAACAGACAATAAGCATATGACGTAGATGGTGTTATGTACTATGAAGAGAAATAAGCCCAGAGCAGATGAGAGTTGATGGAGTTGTGTCTTAATTTGCCTTATTTTACATATATTTAATGTATTAAAATCGTGCTGACATCCTATGTGGAAAGGTTTACTGAAAATTTGAGAGACAGAGAATGGCTGATCTGTAGAACATGGGTACTGTCTAAAAGAACCTTCACTGATTCTTTCAAACTTTTCCAGAGATAAACTTAGACTCATTTTGAAAGTTGCTTTATTACCAAAAAATTGCCACTCCATGAAAAGTTCAGCACTTGATGCCAATAGATGTGACAACAAAAAAGCAACTTTGGCATCACATATATGGTCAGGAAAACCATCAGAAACTAAGAGATTTTTTTTTTTTTTTTTTTTTTTTTTTTTTTTGGTAATGGAGTCTTGCTCTGTCACCCAGGCTGGAGTATAGTGTTGCAATCTGGGCTCACTGCAACCTCCGCCTCCCCGGTTCGAGTGATTATCCTGCCTCAGCCTACCGAGTAGCTGGGATTACAGGCATGCACCACCACACCCCAAAATGAGGTTTCACCATGTTGGCCAGGCTGGTCTCAAACTCCTGACCTCAGGTGATCCACCCACCTCTGTTGCAGGAAGTCAGGGACCCCAAACGGAGGGACCAGCTGAAGCCATGGCAGAAGAACATAAATTGTGAAGATTTCATGGAGATTCATTAGTTCCCCAAATTAATACTTTTATAATTTCTTACGCCTGTCTTTACTGCAGTCTCTGAACATAAATTGTGAAGATTTCATGGACACTTATCACTTCCCCAATCAATACCCTTGTGATTTCCTATGCCTGTCTTTAATCTCTTAATCCCGTCATCTTCATAAGCTGAGTAGGATGTATGTCGCCTCAGGACCCTGTGATGATTGCGTTAACTGCACAAATTGTTTGTAGAACATGTGTGTTTGAACAATATGAAATCTGGGCACCTTGAAAAAACAACAGGATAACAGCAATGTTCAGGGAACAAGAGAGATAATCTTAAACTCTGACTGCCGGTGAGCCGGGCGGAACAGAGCCATATTTCTCTTCTTTGAAAAGCAAATGGGAGAAATATCGTTGAGTTCTTTTTCTCAGCAAGGAACATCCCTGAGAAAGAGAATGTATCCCTGAGGGGAGGCCTCTGAAATGGCCACTTTGGGGACGGCTGTCTTTTACAGTCACAGCAGAGGGATGAAATAAGCCCCGGTCTCCCATAGCGCTCCCAGTCTTATTAGGACGAGGAAATTCCTGCCTAATAAATTTTGGTCAGACCAGTTGTCTGCTCTCAAACCCTGTTTCCTGATAAGATGTTATCAATGACAATGCGTGTCTGAAACTTCATTAGCAATTTTAATTTTGCCCCGGTCCTGTGGTCTTGTGATCTCGCCCTGCCTCCACTTGCCTTGTGATATTCTATTACCTTGTGAAGCATGTGATCTCTGTGACCCACACCCTATTCGTACACTCCCTCCCCTTTTGAAAATTGCTAATAAAAACTTGCTGGTTTTATGGCTCAGGGGGCATCACGGAACCTGCCAACATGTGACGTCTCCCCCAGACACCCAGCTTTAAAATTTCTCTTTTGTACTCTGTTCCTTTATTTCTCAGACCGGCCAACACTTAGGGAAAATAGAAAAGAAACTATGTGAAATATCGGGGGTGAATTTTGCCCGATACACCTCAGCCTCCCAAAGTGCCAGGATTACAGGTGTGAGCCTTCGTGCCTGGCCGATAACTCCTTTGAAACAACATAAATATGGAAATGAACTACTCACATATGTTATTATATTGCCCATATCCTTCTGCAGCTTGCCTTTTTCACCCAAAGTTTTCTTCATGAGATTTACCCATGTTAATTCTTTTCAATCTAGTATGTTCATGTTTAATTGCTGTATAATATTCCACCACATGGATATGAGTTTATCCAATCTCTTGTTGGTTAACTTACATTCTGCATCATCTTATGTTACTGCAAATACTACCGTGATAAACAGGTTTTCCAAATTTCTTTGTACACATGTGTTTTTTTGCTCAGGTATGTGCATCTTCAACTTCATTAGAGATTATAAAATTGCACTCCACTTTACCTAGCTGAGTTTCCACTGGCCCATATCTCTGCCAGCAATTCTGTCAGACTTACATTTTCGCCAATCTGAAGATGACAGAATAGTCATTTTAACTTTCAATTTATCCATGAGTTTCTAGTTCAAGTATCTTTTCCCATGTTTACTGACCATTCCAGTTTCTTCCTCTATAAAGTAACTCTTCACATCCTATGCCCATTTTGTCTTAAGTTTTTCTTTTCATTATTAGGCTATTTTTCATATCCTGGATACTAACCATTACAAAAAGTTTCCCTACAACAAGATCACAAAGACAGGTAAATTTTCTTTGAAATTTTTTCTAGTTTTTCTTTTCATATTTTAGTCTTATAATGTCAGAAAAAAAGACCTAACACTCAAATGTCAAAAAAAAACCTAACTGAATAAAAAAGTGGTACATCCACACTACAAAGTACTAATTTTAAAAAAGATGAAGAACATTTCTATAAACAGATATGAAGTGATCTCTAAGAGAAGTTTAAAAAGGTGCAAAATGGGCCGGATGCAGTGGCTCACACCTGTAATTCCCAGCACTTTGAAAACACTCTGGGAGGCTGAGGCAGGTGGATCGCCTGAGCCCGATATCAGCCTGGGCAGCATGGCAAAACCCAGTCACTACCAAAAATACAAAAAAAATAGCCGGGTGTGGTGGCACACACCTGTGGTTCCAGCTACCCTGGAGGCTGGGGTGGGAAGACAGCTTGAGTCTAGGAGGCAGAGGTTTCAGTGAGCCAAGATCACCCCACTGTACTCCAGCCTCAGTGACAGAGTGAGACCCCACCCCAGGTCAAAAAACAAAGTGCACAATGGTATATGCTATCTTTTATCTAAGGGAGGGAGAAAATATTCCTGCCTCAGCCTCCCGAGTGGCTGGGATTGCAGGCTGAGCCACCATGCCCGGCTAATTTATTTATTTATTTTTTTTGGTGGAGATGGGGCTTCATGTTCGTGGGGCTGGTCTCAAACTCCCGACCTCAGGTTATCTGCCTGCCTCGTCCTCTCAGGGTGCTGGGATGGGAACAGGAATTAAAAGAAATTTAAAAATGTGTAAACAAAAACTCAGTTGTATGTAAAAAAACCCAATTCCCCCTGAGAAAGAGAAGAGCTAGAGTCCTTCAAAAAAAACTACTACCTCCTGTTTTTCTATGGCAGTGAGCCTTATCTCTCCTCCCTTCCCGGGCATTATAAAAACCCTAATTCCCTAACTGTACAACTGCAAGGTCACTAAACAAACTCAAGTTACAAAACATATTTTTCCTAAAAAAGGAAAAAATAATATAATGCATGATTCAATTGAACAATTATCTTTGTTTCTCACTTCTATCATATGCTTCACCCTGCACAGATCTACCCCCACCCCATAAAATGCTTAAAAGGTAAGTCTTGTTCAGAACTCAGTGCTTTAAATGTTAATCCGACTGGGTCAATGCACGTAAATAATTAATTAATAACCTCCTAAACCCCATCAGTCTCTCTAATTCCTTAAAAATCCTGCTTCAGGATTGTAAGCATGAGCCACCAGGGTGCTGGGATTGCAGGTGTGAGCCACCGCACCCAGCCCAATTTCTTAATCAGAAAAGAATAGATCGGCCTGGTGTGGTGGCTCACGCTTGTGATCCCAAGAATTTGGACAGCCGAGCGTGTTGGATCCCTTGAGCCTAGGAGTTCCAGACCAGCCTGGGCAACATGGTGAAACCGGGTCACTTTTTTTGTTTTTTGTTTTTGTTTTTTTTTGAGGCGGAGTTCCGCTCTTGTTGCCCAGGCTGGAGTGCAGTGGTGTGGACTCAGCTCGCCGGGCCTCTGCCTCCCCGGTTTGGGTGGTTCTCCTGCCACAGCCTCCCTAGTGGCTGGGATTGCAGGCGTGAGCCATCATGCTCGGCTCTTTTTTTTTTTTTTTTTTTTTTTTTTTTTTGGTGGAGATGGGGTTTCTCCATGTTGGTCAGGCTGGTCTCAAACTCCCGACCTCAGGTTATCTGCCCGCCTCGGCCTCTAGGGGTGCTGGGATTTCAGGCGTGAGCCACTGCGCAAGTCCCAATTTATTAATCATAAAGGAACTGATCGGCCTGGCGTGGTGGCTCACGATTGATCCCAGGACTTTGTAGGGCTGAGCGCGGGGGATCACTTGAGACTAGGAGTTCCAGACTGGCCTGGGCAACATGATGAAACTTGTTCTCTTTTTTTTTTTTTTTTTTTTTTTTTGAGACAGAATTTCGCTCTTGCTGACTGGCTGGAGTGCAGTGGCGTGGTCTCGGCTGCCTGTGGCCTCCCTCTCCGGGTTTGGTTGGTTCTCCTGCCTCAGCTTCCCAAGTGGCTGGGATTGCAGGTGTGAGCCACTATGCCCGGCTTTTTTTTTTTTTTTTTTGGTAGAGACGGGGTTTCTTCATGTTTGTCAGGCTGATCTCAGACTCCCGACCTCAGGTGATCCGCCCGCCTCGGCCTCCCTGGGTGCTGGGATTGCAGGCTTGAGTCACCGTTCCTGGCCCAATTTATTAATTAGAAAGGAATAGATTGGCCTGGAGTGGTGGCTCATGCTTGTGATCCCAGGAATTTGGACGGCCGAGAGCGGCAGATCGCTTGAGCCTAGGAGTTCCAGACCAGCCTGGGCAACACGGTGAAACCCGGTCGCTTTGTTTTTTGTTTTTGTTTTGTTTTTTTTTTTTTGAGGTGGAGTTACGCTCTTGTTGCCCAGGCTGGAGTGCAGTGGCGTGGACTCAGCTCACTGGGCCTCCGCCTCCTGGGTTTGGGTGGTTCTCCTGCCTCAGCCTCCCGAGTGGCTGGAATTGCAGGTGTGAACCACCATGCCTGCTAACTTTGTATTTTTTGTTTTTTTTTTTTTAGTATAGACGAGTATTCTCCACATTGGTCAGGCTGGTCTCAAACTCCCGACTGCAGGTTATCCACCCGCCTCGGCCTCTCGGGGTGGTGCGATTCCAGGCATAAGCCACTGTGACCGGCCCAATTTATTAATCAGAAAGGAACAGATTGGCCTGGCGTGGTGGCTCACGCTGGTGATCCCAGCTGGGACTTTGGACGGCCGAGCACTGAGGATCGATTGAGCCTAGGAGATCCAGACCGGCCTGGGCAACGTGGTGAAACCGGTCTTTTTTTTTTTTTTTTGAGGCAGAGTTTCGCTCTTGTTGCCCAGGCTGGAGTGCAGTGGCCCGGTCTCAGCTCCCCGTGGCCTCCACCTCCCGGGTTTGGGTGGTCCTCCTGCCTTAGCCTCCTGAGTGGCTGGGATTGCAGGCGTGAGCCACCATGCCAAGTTAGTTTTTTATTTTTTTATTTTTTTGGTAGAGACTGGGTTTCTCCATGTTGGTCAGGCTGGTCTCCAGCTCCTCACCTCAGGTGATCTGCCGGACTCCACCTTCTGGGGTGCTGGGATTGCAGGCGTGAGTCACTGCGCCTGACCTGACACCAGGTCTCTTAACAGAAAAACAAAACAAAAACCATAAAGATTAGCCTGGCCTGGTGGGCCCGGCGGGCAGTCCCAGCTACTCTGAAGGCTGATGTAGGAGGATTGCTTGAGCCAGGGGGTGGAGGTGGCAGTGAGCCATGTTGGCGCTGCTGCAGTCCAGACTGGGCGACAGAGCGGGACAGTGTCTCAGGAAAAGGGAAAGGAAAAAAAAATAAAGAAAAAGAAAGTATATAAAATTGCTAAATCAGGGAACAGCTTAAGAGTATATTATTGAGAGAAATAGAGGCAAAGGTGAGCAGACACCAATGTTCACTTAGTGGAACTGCAGGTGTCCCCAGACAGGAGGCTGCTATTTTTCCAAAAGAAATCTACTATTGACTTAAAAAAAAAAAAAAAAGTTGGTTTGTTACAATATACAAATAGCTACACTTTATATAGCCACCACCCTCTTCTAGCACTGCTCTAAGCCTTTTCCTGCTCTGAAAGAGCTACTGTTACCTCCATTGTAGAAAAAACAGATGCCAGAGGTTGTTGTGGAAGGACCAGGGAAACTGAAATTTACTTGTACTTTTCAGACTTAAAGGTTCTTCCTGCTCTGCTCCATACACTGCAACATTGTAGTTAACATACCTCTTAAAATACTGGTCCTTTCTGTATTTGGAGGGACTCATCTTGCAGTGTGAAGTTTTTTCTTGCACTAAGCATTTGGTCATAAGCTCATTTGCGTTTTATGTCAGGTTTAAGTACCTCTTCAGACATTGTTCAGTTAGGAATGTAAATATGAGCAAACAGGTATCTGATTGAAATAGATAACCTAGAAAAAATCACTTATGAGAAAGTCAAGAAAATGTGAACTCTGGATTTGTGGCTATTTTCAGAATGTATTAATTTTTTGATATTTAATGGCGTTATGAGTATATTTATTTTTAAAAATTCCTTGTCTTCTACAGATACATATAAGGTAATTTTAAAAATGATATGATATATAGGTTTTACTTAAAAATAATTCAGAGGAAGAAGGAATGTATATAAATGAAGTGGGAATACAAATGGAACAAAACAGGATGTGGCCAGGTGCGGTGGCTCACGCCTGTAATCCCAGCACTTTGGGAGGCCGAGGCAGGCAAATCACCTGATGTCAGGAGTTCAAGACCAGCCTGGCCAACGTGGTGACACCCCATCTCTACTAAAAATACAAAAATTAGCCGGATGTTGTGACGGGTGCCTGTAATCCCAGCTACTCAGGAGGCTGAGGCAGGAGAATTGCTTGAACCTGGGAGGCAGAAGTTTCAGTAAGTCAAGATCATGCCACTGCACTCCAGCCTGGGCAACCACAGCAAAAGCCCACCTTTAAAAAAAAAAACAAAACAAAAACTGGCCATGCCATGAATGAAAAATTGTTGATGATGTATGTATGTAGGGCAGTTATATTATTTTTCTTAACTTTTTTTAGGTTTGAAACTTTTTATTGAACACATGCAAACATCCCTTGATAACTGGGGCTGCTTCCCCATTATTCTCATAGTAGCCCTTCTGATTTTCACTTCATCTTCATTCTTAGAGATTCTGGATTTTTTTTTTTTTTTGGCAAGATCAAATATGTCTTTGCAAGGACCATCCAGAATGTCTATTTTATGACAGAGGCTTTGCAGAGTACCTACTCAGCCATATTATCAGAAACAGAAATATTTTCCATATTCTTGTCTTGTCCTGTTTAGATTTTTTAAATTCCAAGAACAGTCACCTTCTACCACACACTCTGATGTTGGAAGACAAAGCATATTTTGTAAGTGGCATGATTTCTGGGCTCAAATTTAGAACAGAGCCACAGCTTTCAACAACCAAAAAATAACTTACTGTGACTCACCAAATTTAGAAAGATGGGGATTATTATAAAAAGAAAACCTTAATTTACTATGTGACCTCTAAGTATCTGGGCTGAAAATTGTAAAGATAGAAAGGTAAATCAAAAGATATAGAGACTGTAATCATGCACTTAATGAAGCACTAAATCAAAATATATTTGGCATACGTGAAAGAGTTTAATTTTATCACATTTTTTACTGGCACTATAGCTATTTGCAAGTACATATAAAACTACAGTGTTACATATAAACTACCAAAAAAGAACTTTTTAAGAAATGAGACTCATCTAGCAACTTTATTTAAAAGTTTATCTTAGGGGAATAATTAAGGATGGCCATACAAAAGGATTTAGCCATGACACGAGAATGTTCTCCCTGGCAAACCAATGGAAATTATTAAATGTGCAAAATGGAACTGTTGGAATAAATTCTAATGCCTTCATATGATCGTATATTTAACCTTTTAAAATGATATTGAAGAGTTGCATACATTGACTTAAACACACATTTGTAACACATCACTGAATAGGAGAAATATGGGCCAGCAAAGAACATAGAGTTGGTCCAATTTCTACAAAAAAAAGAAGACTCTAATAGCATGACAGCAGGGAAGGGGGACTATGTCAACGTATGTGTGTATATGTATGTATATGCATAGCAAGCATGAACTTGAAAAGATATATTTCAAATTGTTTACACAGATTACCTCAGAGAGGTAAATAACTTTGGACTTTGGTGTTCTGTATTCCACATGCTCTGAATTTTCTTTTTTTATTTAAATAGAGATGGGATCTTAGCCAGGAGCAGTGGCTCACCCCTGTAATCCCAGCACTTTGGGAGGCTGAGGAGGGCGGATTGTTTGAGGCAGGAGTTCAAGACCAATCTGGCCAACACGGCAAAACTCTGTCTCAACTAAAAATTCAAAAATTAGCCAGGGGCGCAGTGGCTCATGCCTGTAACCCCAGACACTCGAGAGACTGAGGCATGAGAATTGCTTGAACCAGGAGGCAGAGGTTGCCGTGAGCCGAGATCACACCACGGCACTCCAGCCTGGGCAACAGACCAAGACTCTGTCAAAAAACAAAACAAAACAAAACAAAACAACAACCACAACAACAAAACAGTAATAAAGAGAAAACCTAATGGACAGGAGCAATGTCTCGTGCCTGTAATCCCAGTGCTTTCGGAGGCCAAGATGGGAGAATTGCTTGAGGCCAGGAGTTCAAGACTAGCATTGGCAACATAGTAAGACCTTTTCTCTACAAAAAAATTTAAAAATTAGCCAGGCATAGTAGTGCATGCTTATACTCCCAGCTACCTGGGAGGCTGAGGTGGGAGGATCACTTGAGCCTAAGAGTTGGAGGTTGCAGTAAGCTGTGATCATACCACCAGAGAGCCACGACCCCATCCCCGCCTCCTTCCTCTGTCCTACGCTAGCAATAAATAAGTTTCCCAGCCACAAATAATTATTAGAACCTCCTCCCCATGTGACAGCTCCAACCTCTGCTAGGTATGATACAGGGGCAGCCCTACCCTCTGGAATATACAAAATGTTACACAGACACAGTATGTACACCGGGGAAGGTGGGCCACCCCAGCAGCCCATGCCCTCGCTGGTCCACAGTTAGCCCCACTTTCTGGCCTCAGCTACCTCTCTGAATAAGAAGATGGGAGCCCCCCTGAGGGAAAAGTTGCTATGGTGAGAGTAAGGGGGACATCAGGCCTCCTCCAAACAAACCAACTCCACCAGCCTCTGGCTCTTAAATAACAATCATCATCATCCAGAAATTTAGGGACTCAGCCCTGGTCAGGGTGGCAAAGGGTCTGTTTGTCTTTCCCCATTAGACAGAGGTCTTGTCCTGCTACCCTAATTGTAAAGGGGTGCCTGGGAAGGGGTGGTAGGGACATGGTGGCGGTGGAGACTCCGGCCCCACTTCTCCAGGCTTTGCTGACAGGGGCCTGCTTTTAATTTTTATTTTTATTCCATGACTTTTTAAAAAAGAATCCCGTAACTTCTTTTTCATAACTTTTTTTGTAACTTTTCATAATACTGTTTTCTACTTTGTTCCCACAAGTTTTTTTGCCACAACGTTTTTACATTTTTTATCCCATAACTTTTTCACCCCATAACTTTTTTAAATAAAGTTATTTAATAAAATAACTTTTTATAAAACTTTAATAAAAGTTTTTTAATTAACCCATAACTTTTTTATTTTGGTTTTTAATAAACACTTGCATAGTTATATTACAACTTTGTAAAAATGAAACACATTATCTCATGCCAAGCATGCCCAGCATTTGCACAGTATCAATACCTTTAATACTATAGTTTTCAAGAAACGCAAAATAAAATTTTAAGGCAAAAACAACACATTCAAACAACTTAATAATTTATTACATTACAGTGGCATCACACCAGCAGTCAATAAGGCCACTCTAGGGAAAAATCTTTCAGTATTTCCATTACACATTCTGTTTATAATAATTCATAAACTGGTAAAATTCATTCTAAGAAAACTTGGCAAATAAAACTTTGGACTGGAATTGGCATTTCTTTCTCTGCTTTTCGTTCCCACTGTTTCTTTCTTTTATACTACAGTATTCATATTTTAAAATGTTTTAAATTATTTCAGAACATTAAGATAGCAGTTACATATTTTAATAGTTATATTATTTTAAAACAACTCTTTAAAGTTTTAGAGAAACTATATTATGGATAGGGCTGATTTACATTTTCAAATTTTCTAAAATCAGCTTTGGTTTTAGAGCTGATTTTTTTTTTCATTTCTGGAAAATTATCAGGTTGAATCAAATACTTTTAAAATGATTATTATATATTGCCATCTTTAAATAGGTATTTTGATTCTTCCTACAGAAATTAAAATGTATTCAGTGGAACTCACAGTTTAAAATTCTGTGTTTCTGATGAACTCTAACATTCCAATGTTGCCTTCTAAGCAAACTGAAAGCTGCCTTATACAGAATGAGGAAGAGCACAAATACTCGGCTGAATGAGGTATCGCAAAAGACTGCATGCACTTTGGAGAAAGACTTGAGTTATTGTCATACAATTTCCATTCTTTTTAGCTTTTTCTTAAATATATGACAAATACCTATACAAAGAGTGGTATTTCAGTCAATATAGTAAATTTATTTTCCAGACTGACCTTCAGCTTAAATATGCCAGTGTGTGATTTAATCCATAGGCACCTCATGAACACATTATTGTCAGATTGGTTACAGATGCTAAACGCTATCCGAAGGTCATTCCTAGTCACTGATATTTATCAGGGTAAAAGTGAAGTGATTTCAACGATAAAAGTACCTTTGCAATAATTTATCAATGTATTAGATAAACCCAGTTTCAGAATGATAAAAGAAAAAACGTTAGACCAAATAATGTGGCTGATTAACAGTGGTCCGATTTCTAGCCCGAGGGTTTAAAATGCTCTTAAAGTAACTGTCTTTAAACTGAACTCAAAGAATGCAAAAGCGGCAAGTTCAGAAAATAAAAGGCGAGAACAGGACTTTAAGTGCATTTTAAACCCACGGGCTACAAATCGTACCACTGTTAATTAGCCGCATTATTTGGTCTAAGATTTTTTCTTTATCATTCTGAAACTGGGTTTATCTAATACATTGATACATTCATAAAATTTGGAAGAGTCAGTGGAAGTCACAAGGACCGAATATTTGCACTCTTTCAGTGAATGCCAGCAAATCTGTTATTCCATCGGTAAAATCGTACTGTTGCTCTCCTGTTAATGTCATATTTATAGAAGTATCATGAGGATGCCAAATGCTAAAAATGGAGATGATCTAGTAACTAGAAATCCCCACCGCAGGGAGCACACACACCTATCTCCCTGCATCCTAACAATGTGATGTGTTTTGGAACACAGACATTAGAACTTCATGAAGTTTTAACTGTTGAGTCTTTCCCAAGCATCATCAAGTTACGATTTAGGCAATATATAACTGAAATGCATTCATTCATCATGCATAGGCACAATCACATAAATATTGCACAAAATATGTCCCGAACAGAAACCCAGAGGTACAAAAACATATTTCACTTTGTAAAGAAGTCTGTGAGAAAATATAACTCTGTGATTGTATAGACACGTTTCCTGATAATACATTGACATTCACGAACAGTAGATTGCACTGCAGTTTGTACACATTTTAAGTTTCATAAACTTCTCCTTGATTTTCAAAGATAGTATAATACCGTCTACTAAAACTCCTTTTTGTTTCAACTAAGTATCTCACATATATTAGTTTATAATAATGTTTCTATTATTTTTTAAAGTGTTTTCCATTCAAGGAAAAAGAAGTAAATTCCTATGTCAGAGTAACCAAGGTGGTTGAAGAATAGGTATTAGCCAAAGAGGTCTAGATGGTAAAATCAATCTTCAAGCCTCAAAGAATACGTGAACAGAGAGGAATGCCAGGTGTCACACAGCTTTCCTTCACTCTAATTCATTCTTGACTAGAGCCTGTATGCCTGTTCCAGGGACGTTTGAACTCATAAAGGATTTCTTATGATCTTCACTAAATACATTAAGAAGAATGCCAACCAGTGTCCTTTTGTGTACTGGGACATGTAGTCATGCGATTAAAACAGGTAACATGAACTCTGACTTTAAAATGTATTGTAGATACAAATGCTCTAAGCTAGGAAAGGTTTTCCACATCCACAGTCAACGATGGGAACCTTTCATTCCTCAGAAATAAGCCCTTTTTAGGTCATCGAAAAAGAGTACAACTGCTGCAGCTCATGATGCAGTATCTTCATGAGCCCAGAGCACATACAAATCCTAAGGGCACCACCATAATACACCGCTAATTCCTGGCACCGGAACAGATGAAACACACTCTATCCTGCACATACCTGCCAGAGGAAGCCACTTTCCTCTTCTGTGAGATTTAAAAAGCTCCCCCAAAAGGTTTCACTCCCATCACCAATACACAGAAAATGGAGGAAAGGCTGTTTCCAGTTCTTGGCCTTTAAACAACTCTAAATGTCAGTACTCATAGTGGCATATTACAAAGTAATAAACAGTGCACACTTGGGGGCAAACTACATATTGAGCTAACGAAGAGCTCACTGTGATTAAGATTAGATCAAACAACAGCAGAACATAGGCAAATTTTGTCTGAATTCTGTAGTGAATATACATGCTGCAATAACATTAAAAAAGCATGGCAGCCTATTCCAAACCAGCGAGAACAGTTTTGGGCAAAGAGTGGGTCTTTGTGTGTTTGAACTTCCACCACGTAAGGGCAAACTCGATATGCATGCTAATGACCTACAATTATGAAATTAAAAAAGAAAAATGCTAAAGGATGCCAGAGTGAACATCAGTGAGAGCCACAGACACCCACTCTCTTTTAACTTTTTACAAATAAACTTAAAACTATAAATTAGAAACACAAATAATCATGAGTGACTCTAACATTCAAAGGAAGTAAATGAATTGTGTAGGAGATTAACCCCATAACTTGGTTTCTTATTTAAAAATTTCTTGAGCAGCTCTTTGAGGATGGTGATGTTTATCTCCTTCTTCTTGGCAGCCAAGCCCAGCAAAAGAATGGCACACAGCAGTTGCTGCCCAAGCCTGGGTGCTCCTGGTGGTCCTGCACGATCGGCTGTGCAGTAGGCTTGTCAAGGAGAGGATCCTCCCTGGCCTCTCCTTGGGCAGAGGAGGTGAGGCTCACCTCACAAAGATCTTTGGAGAGAGGGAGGCAGGGATCTGAGCACAGTGGGAGCCCCCTCTTCCTGCCTGCCCACACCACCTGAGGGCTGTACTCACCACCATGCTTGTCTGCAGCCCCAAGCTCCTGGGGAGCTGGGGCTCCTGGACCGGGCTCATCAGCAGAGTTGTGGGCAGCGGCCAGGAATTTTCTGTGCCCATTGTTGTAGTTGCTGTAAGCCGCAATACCATCTGCTGCAGCTCCAGCAGCTTCACCTGGAGGGAGGGGTGCTCAGCTGCCATGCCGCTGCCTGCGCCCACCCTCACACCCACCCCCACCCCCACCCCCACAGAGATGTTGCACACCCTACCTTCATCTCCTCCCTGAGCTCCAGCCTGATGGTGTCCTCCTCCCAGTGCCGCATCTTTGGCACGGCCCCCTGGTTCTGATAAAAGGTGATGGATTTTCCTGCGGGAGGACGGGGCTCAGACGCTGGGGCCCCTCCGACGGTCCTGCAGCTCCCCCTGCCGTGCCCTGGCCTCCCACTCACTGATGGCATCTCTCTTGCCAGTATTGAATGAAGCGAAGTTCTTGTTTCTTCACAAGCTCACTCAGGTCTGCCTTCTCCTCCAGGTGGTCCATAAAGCTGCTCTGGAGCCAAAATATTGCAGTCACATCTCGGCAGCGACCTGCCCTCAGGTGGCATTTTCAAGTCATGGAGAAGGTGGAGGTGAGTCCTGGCATGGGCCAGCTTCTCCGTGACTTCCTGCAGGGCCCAGTGGGTCTCCCCACTCACAGACTCGCCCCCAGGCCCTGGGGCTGCAGGGCCTCTGGCTGCCTCTGGCTCCTTCTGGGCCGAGGCCACCGGGTGAGCCAGGCGCTGGCAGCCACCCTCTGCTCTTTCACCTGCTCTTGTAACTGTGCCTGCTTCTCCTGGGCACTAGCTCCAGCGGACTTGAGAAATGCCACCTGAGGGCAAGATGTGAGCATTCTTCTAGGGGCATACACAGAAGAAATGGGGCAGAGAGGTGGAGCGCAACCCCTTCCCTTGGGCCCCCAGAGACTGCACATGTTGGTCACAGGTGAAATGTTGTCTGACCACTGGCTCTCAGAAGGGGTGAGGGTCCAGAGAAATCAGAAGGCAGGGAAACGAAGAGCATAAAGGGGTCTTGGAGGGACCACAGAGAAAGGTGGCAAAATGGGTGCAGGGGGAGTCAGGCTCACCATGGCCTCCCTGCTCTCCGGGTCCTCTGGGACACTCGGCATGGGCCGAGGTGCCTCCTCCCCCTCACTGTCCAGATGTTCTCCTCCGTGTCCTGTGGGGGGTGGCCAGAGGGGTCTTCAGACAACCCAACAAGGGAGGTACTGTGGGCCCACCTCTACCTCCACCCTCACTGTGTAACCCTGAGCCAGCCCCTCCCCAGAGAGGAATGAGCTGTTGTTCTTTATTTTTACTTTTAAGAATCAAGATCTTGCTATTCCGCCCAGGCACACTCCCACTACTGGTCGATGTGGGAGTTCTGACCTGCTCCCTTTCTGACCTTGGCCAGTTCAGCCATCCTTAGGCAACTTGGTGACCCCCCGCTCACAGGAGGTCACCACACTGATGCCGAACTTAGTGCAGGCACCCGGTCGGCATAATGACCAGCTGTTCTAAAGGTCTCTTCCAACTCCTCAATCCTATGCTGCTAGCAGTCCCCCCTTCCTCCTGGGGCTCTCTCCTCTTCCTCTGAGCGGTCTCCCGTACCTTCCCCAGGGAGAGCCATGAGGCTCAGCTGGGCCGTTAGCTGCTGGTTCTGCTGGCTGGCAGCTTCCAGGTGCTCCTAAGGGGCCAGGAAAGAGTGAGAAGGGATGGAGTTTGCCAGGTCGTCCCCCTCACAGCCCCATCCTCGGCAGCTCCCTCCCCTGGGTCTCCTGCAACTTTTGGCAGGCCATATCGGCCACCGCTTTGCCTCAAGCTTCCTGCTACTGCAGCTGGTTCATTAGCTGGGTCTGCTGCAGTCACTGCCTGTACAGCGCCTCCTTCTCACAGGTCAACTGCTGATAGGCGGCCACCTGCTGCTGATAGGTGGCCACGGACTGCTGCAGGTGACCCAGGTAATGGTCTGGCTGCTGCTGCAGACTCTGAGCCTCTTGGCTCTTCAGCTCCACCTGCAGGAAGACCCTGGGTGTGAGGGCACGTGGTGGCTGGTTTCCAGATTCTGGGCCCATTAATAGGGTAGCGAGGGCACTGTGGGGCTCTGTCAGCTGCCCAGGCCCCTGTCCCCTTACTCCAGGCCTAAGTGACTGCCTCCCTTTCCTAGAACCCCATGCCTCCTTCCCCAGCCTCAAATCTCATACCCTCTTCTCATTTAATCCGCAGCACCTCTGTAAGGAAAATGCTAACTTCCCTTTGAAGTTAAAGAAACAGAGACTTAGAGATGCAAAGTACTTGAACGGTGACCAGTGGAACCGAGGCTGGAATCCAGTTTTAATCTAAGGAGTCTTTTTGTTTTGTTTTCAGACAAGAGTGTCACTCTGTGGCCCAGGCTGGAGTGCAGTGGTGCAATCTCAGCTCACTGCAACCTCCACCTCCTGGGTTGAAGCAATTCTCATGCCTCAGCCTCCCGAGTAGGTGGAATTACAGGCATGCACCACAATGTCCTGCTAATTTTTTTTTTTTTTGTAATTTTAGTAGAGATGAGGTTTTACCACATTGGCCAGGCTGATCTCAAACTCCCGACCTCAAGTGATTCTCCTGCCTCAGCCTCCCAAAGTGCTGGGATTATAGGCATGAGCCACTGCACCTGGCATAAGGAGCCTGTTATAGCACTGTCTCTTCCCCTGTGATTGGGGGCTCCATGCCTCTAGCTAGGATGATGATGTCCAGACCTGAGAGGAGCCCAGGGCTACCCACCTTTAAAAGTCAGAGGCAGGAAGCAAGAAACAGGACTGCCCTGGGGGGTGCTGTGGTCACCAGCCCCCAGGCTGGAAGCTGCCTCTGGCCTGGTACCTCCCCTCCCCAGAGGCTGCTGCCCGCCTCCCAGCCCTTCTTGGATGGGGTGGAGGTTTCCGACTCCTTCACCTCGCCAAGCTTCTCCTGTAGCTCCTTTACTTGCTGCTCCAACTGCAGTGTGCTCTTGTTCTCATTGTTCTGGACAGAGAGAAGCAATCAGCAGCCACCCACTGCAGCTGGAGACCCCAGAACTTGGTGTCTGCCTCCCATGGCACTGGGAAGGCTGGAGGCAGGTTAGAAAAATCACCCCCTCTCTCCCACAGCCACCTGGCTCACAGGTGCCTTTAGAAGTAACATTTCATGTGAGGGCTACACTGCCCCATTTTAGAGGTGGGGAAACAAAGGCCCGGAGGGCTAGGGAGGAGGGCAAGCTCCCCAGTTTGGGCAACGCACCGGCTCCTCGAAGACGCTCTGTGGCTTGGCCAGCTGCTGAAGGCTCTTGTGCTGCTCCTGAATCCTCTCCTCCTGCTTCCGAAGCCTCTCTTCCTGCTCCCGAATCCTCTCTTCTTGTCGCTGGTTCAGGAGACTTATGCGCTGATTGTTTTTGACCTGGGCCTGGAGCTCTCCTGCCACTCTCTCTAGTTCCTTCCTCAGGTGCTGCAGCTCCACCTCAGAGGGCACTGCTGGGGGCTCCGGGGGCAAGGGTTCAGCTGAGAAAGGAAGCAGACAATAAGGGCCTCTGGATTCTCGGAAAAGAAAAACCCTCCTCTTGGCGCACAGCTCCTCTCAGGCTCCTCAAACTTGGCCTCACTGCTAATGATTCCTCGCACCCAGATGGTAGCCAGTCTTCCAAAGCACTTTCAGAGAAAGAGCACTGCGGGTGGCTGACAACGGGCCCTCTTTGCTGATGGGGACACTGAGACACTGAGACTCATTGAGATGACAAGACTCGCCGTCTCCTGGCACAGATCTCTTTCCCTCTGCCTCAAAGCCCTTCCATCCACCCACCTCCCTGGGGCACTCTAAGCCACCCTCACAGCCCTCTGATGCCAGTCCTGCTCCCAGGTCATGCCAGCCCCATCTTACCCATCTGGTTTTTGAGTTTGGACAAGCTCCTCTCCAGCTTCTCTACCCGACGCATATCTTGCTGCTTCTCTTTCTTTAATGTGCAAATCTGCCCAAAGCACAAGGGGAAAGGGCCCTGGAGAGAGGGGCTGGAGGCTGGACAGGCTGCCCTCTCCCTCTCTGCCCCCACCTCCACAAAGCCCAGACCCATGACCACCTCTGGCTCTACTATTCCCATTTTACAGATGACCAGAAAGATCCAGTGACCTATCTAATGTGGGGGGGCTGAAGGGTCAGATCTCACCTCCTGCGACATTTTTCTCATCCTCTGCTGCCACCGGGCCCTCTCTCCTTTTAGATGTTCAGAATACTCATCTCTTTCTAATTGGACTTGTTGAAATGACTCCTTCAACTGCAAGAATGGGCACAGAACTTAGGAAGGGCTGTCACTGGTCCTCACCTGCTCCTGGCCACCTGGGGTCATCTTCCTTCCACATAACTCCCTCAGAAAACCTCACCTGTGTCAGCTGCACTTTCAGTAGTGCCTCCTCCCGCATGGACTGCTCTAACTTCCACTCCGTACCTGCTTTACTGGGGCTGGACAACTGGATGGCAAAGAGTGAGAAGTTTCAATCTGGAGAGCCTGGGCATTTCCACACAGTGCCCCTTAACAGGGCTCGGGCTAGGCCCAATATACAACTCGGTCAGTAAAGATCAAGGCATTTCCAAGCCCGTGGTCTGGTTTTTAAAAGAACACAGTAAAGTTGGAACGGACAGGGAATGAGATTGAGTTTATAGCTGGCTAACAGAGGCCCAGAGAGATCAGATAATATTGCTATTGTTATTACTGTTATTATTACCACTGTTTGAACCTTTGTGGAATGCTTCACCAGATACCATGCTAACAATCCCATTTAATCCTCGCAACCACCATAGGAGACAGTTACTATGATTCCCTCTATTGTGGAGATAAAAAACATGGAGTATTTGAGGTTAAGTGCTTGCCTAAGTTCACTTAGGTAGAGCTGGGATATAAACACCCAGGTCTATCCAATTCTCTAAGCCCGTTTTTCTTGCTGGGGATGGGGGCACAGATAGGAAGGGGAAAATTAATCTTTTGTTCACTTTTTGAAAGGATGATACATTTGCATAGTCCAAAACTCAGAAGGTACAGAAGGGAAGTATCTCCCGGCCATCTTGTTGCTCTCTCCTGAATTTTTTATGAACCCTTGCAGACATGTTTTATGTATATTATCATAGTATGTACACACACACACACACACACACACACATGCACACGTTTCCTCTTTCTACAGAAATGGTAACATACTAAAGGTACTCTTCTGTACCTTCACAGTACAAGTACCCAATACCCCACCTAGGACTTGCCCAAGACCACAGCCAGGTAAGGGCGGGGCAGGCACTTGGCCTCCAAGCTCTGCGTCCAGTGCTCACTCCACACAGTGACCCCCAACTCACCCACAGCAGCTGACTCAGCCCCAGGCTGCCACTAAAAACCATACAAAAAAGTAGCAAGAAATGGCCATGCTGCCTTCTGGGCAGGACACGCCATCCTGCAGAAGGGACCTTTAGGCTCACTCCTCCATCTGCAAAGCCAGACTCCCAGGGGATGGGGCAGGTGGTTGGACTCACCTGGTTTGCCTTCTTCTTCTGTGTGGCCATGACATCAGAGAGAACACTCTCTAACTCTCCTTTACGCTGCAATGAATGTTGCAGGCGGACAGCCAGATCCTTGGACTTTTCTGTAGTGAGAGAGTTGAGATGGGGCCCAAAGGACTCCCCCTGAAGACCTGTCAAAGTGCCAGGTTGAAGGATGACAGGGTGCCCAGATTCCCACCTTCAAAGTATCTGAGAGAACGTTTCATGTGGTACAGGTCCGTATTTAGTTCCTCTTTCTGTATGTTCAATGTCTGGAGTTGAACCTTTGGGAGAAAAGCCAAGCAAGTGCTGAAAGAGAAGGAAAGAAACATTCTCCGGAGGACAGGAGGAAACTGCACACCCTCCACTCACCTCTAGCACCCTTTTGGCTTTCTGTTTCTTGTTGTTTGCTTTCTTTTCCTGTAGGAAGAGGAAGACAGAGCTCTTACCAGGGGGAGGCAGAGATGGCACAGCAAGAGACATGCCCCCAGAATGCCACCAATGCCCCAGGACAGGCCCACCCATGGGACCAGGTTATCGGGGCCCTGTGGGGATGGGGTGGAATCTGAAGGGTGAGCCTTCTTCCAGCAGTCATGTTGCAAGGAAACGAAATCACGTTACTTCTTCCAGCTGATGTTCCACTTGTTTCTTCTGTTGTTTCTGTGGGGAGAGTCAAATAAGGTGATGGAGGGTGGCCCCCTCAACTCTATTCCCCAGACCAGGAAGCGGTAGGCAGGGGCCAGGAATGGATTTTAAAGGCAAAGTTCTCAGACATAATGGGAACACGAACTGGTAAACTCTCCTCAAGCTCCCAAGGACAGAGGATTTGGGTCTTTGTGGGCTTTTGCCCACAGCCACAGAACTCAAAGTCTGAATCTGGAATCTCTTGAGAGGACAGCAACATAAACCTCTAGAGATGGAGTTTCAGAAAGGCCCCTCCTTCTGGCAGCTTGTGATTTAGAAAAGTGGGTTCATTCAATAAACATTTACTGAGCATGTATGGACCAGGTACGGTTCTTTACAGCAGATATAGGATGGAAAAGGACAGACAGGAGCCCTTAGCCCTGAGGTTTCCATTCTCGGGGGCCTTTAAATCTCAGACTCGAGAGCTAACAGAGACCTTTGATACTCACTACCTCCTCTGGAAACACGAGCCCAAAAAGGAGAGGTGGCTTGTCCAGAATCAAAGAGCAAATTAGGGACTGAGTCATGGCAGAAATACGGGGACCTTGACAACCAGTCAGGCTAGCACTTCCCCAAGAGGCAACAACCCCAGGGCGTGTGTAGCAAGGACTCGAGCAGGGGTGTCTGGAGAGGAGAGAGTCGGCAAAGAGGGCAGCAAAAGAAGAGCCATGCTGCATGCTCTGGGGTCCCTCCAGGTGAGGCCTGGGCACCCAAGCTCCCTATTTGTCCTGGGCACCAGGGACCCCCAGCCCCTTTCTTCAGGGCCCCAAGGGGAAACTGGAGCCCAGGATTGGCAGCGTGGAATCAGGGGACCCCACCGGACTCTTACCAAAGATTTGATGGTGTTCTTCAGTTGACTGATTTCTACGGACCTTGAATCCAGGACTACTGCTCGTTCTTGGCACGGGCTCTGAGGTGCATGCAGAGAGGAGGAGGTGGAGCAGGAGTCGGGGGAGAGGTAGAGAGAACAATCATTAGGGCTGGGGTGTGTGGGCTGTCTCAGCTGGCAGAGGGGCACCCAGTCCCTCCTGGAGGAGGAGGTTGGAGGGCTGACCCGAAGGGTCACTGCACCTCTGCCCAGAGCCTCTTACCTCCAGATCTTTCAGGGTAGCAGATGATGTAGGGCCTTCCCTGTGAAAACCTGTTGCTGACTACAAGAGATGAGAGTGCACATGGAGATGTTCTGTCCCCCACAGTGTCTGAGCCCTCTGACTTCCTTTCTTCCCCATCAACTGGCAACATTTTCTTTTCTGCCTATCTTGGACCCTTTGTCCCATAACTCCTTTGTGCCAACTTCTCTCATGGTTCTTATCTCCCCACCATCCCATCCTGGGGCCCCTTCAGTGACTCCTGATGGCAAGTGGCTGTTCTCATTGTCCTGGCTTCCCCTTGAGACTGGGGATGAGGAAAATCAAACAGCAAAGACCATATCCTGGGTGTCCTGAGTGTTTACAGCAGGCCATGTACTAGGGATTAACATAAAAACAACAATAACAAATCTCATGAAAATTTCACAAATGGAAGTGAAACAATATCACCTCTATTATACAGATGTGAAAAGAGAGGCCCGATGAGGTCTAGCAACTTGCCCTAAATCATATCCCTAGCAGAGCAGATGGAGAGGCAGGATTCAAACCCAGAATTCCTTTTTTTTTCTTTGAGACAGAGTCTTGCTCTGTCACCAGGCTGGAGTGCGGTGGCATAATCTTGGCTACTGCAAGCTCCACCTCCCAGGTTCACACCATTCTCTTGCCTCAGCCTTCTGAGTAGCTGGGACTACAGGCACACGCCACCACGCTTGGCTAATGTTTTTGTATTTTTAGTAGAGACAGGGTTTCACCGTGTTAACCAGGATGGTCTCTATCTCCTGACGTCATGATCCGCCTGCCTTGGCCTCCCAAAGTGCTAGGATTACAGGCGTGGGCCACCACACCCGGCTAAAGCCAGAATTCTTAACCCGTACCCAGCAGTCCATCCACAATCTTAACAATTACCCTCTATTGCCCCTTGGGCCCCCTGTCCCCAGAAGCCTGGTCAGCCAAGACTCACATCCCCAGGTGGCTGGCAACCACCAGAAGTGGCTGTCTGAGGGATACTGCCATTTGTTTTCCTGTTCCTGTTCGCTCCTGCTGGAACTCTAGGGCTGTTTTTCTGCCAATATTCTTTTAACTGTTGGAAAGAAGAGCAGTAATACTCATGAGAACCGTCAGCCCCTACAGCCACATCCTCCTTTACAGTTTTTACAAAATACACTTACACACCATCTGATTTAATGACACCAACAACTGTACAAGGTGTTGTCACACTCATTTAGTGACTGAGAAGGATTGATATCATGGCTAGAAAAAAAAAAAGAAAAAGGCAATACTGGAACTTTGAAACTCAGTCTTCTGACTCCAAGCTCTGAGGTTTTGCCAAGAATCAGCAGCTGCCAGGGACCAAAACCAGAGGCAGAGGTAGAAAAGTAAACATTAAGTAGGCAGGAACTGTATGCCATGTGGTTTAGAGTCATACATCCTCACACGTCTGTTAGTGTGAAGAAGTGCACCAGTACCTCTCAAACTTTTATATCAATGTGTCCTCACGGCAGAAGGCAGCCTTTCTCTTAAATCAGAATTCATCAGAAAGAGGACAACCCAAGCCTCATTTCAGAGAGAGGGCTGGTATACTCTTAGAAACCTATGTGACTGTCATCCCTAAGTATATTCATGTTTTTTCTCTTGATCTCAAGAGAATCAAGGGAAACTGATGCTTCAGAAAGATGTCCCACATTTATCCTGTGGCACTCAAAGTACCCAAAGTTGAGATAATATGAGGAAGATTCAAGGTGTCAAGTTCAGTTTCCCAAGATCTATTCCACAGAAGATGAGCAAATGTCACTTCAGAGACCACTGACTGAAGGAGAGTCTGGTCCCAGAACCATGGAGAATTAGAATATGAGGTGGAGAACTCAGAAAAAAATGTTAAAATCTCTCTGGAAAGTAGAAGCCTGGGAGAAAACCAAACCAAACCCATTCTCTCATTGCCACCCAGAGATACCGTCAATGTTTTGAGTTCATGGGGGAAGTGTAGGCTTTTCCCACCGTCAACATCTGTAAGGGAGTGAGGCAGCCTGGAACCTCTTGCTCCTAGGTCCCATAGTCTCCATTCCCCTTCCAGCTGGAAATTTGTCCTGTGACCAGAGGAACCAGAAACGAGGTGAGAACGCTTAGGGGACTGGGTCATAAGATCAAAGGCCAGTCTTGCAGTAACGGCAGTTACTAGGTGGGCTGTGACATCACAACATTCCACTCCTCCTGGTCGGGGGGAGGGACCATGTCAGCACCATGTCTAAGTCGCTGCTCCACGATGGGGGAGGGAAGCACAGGGTTGGGACCCAGCTCCTTGGAGACGCCAGCACAAAGAACCCAGGGAGGTCGACCTTGAGGCAGCAGGAGGGGAGGGCAGAGTCTGCAGCAGGGAGCCCCAGGAGTCACCAGCCCAAAGTCACCCAGGGATGATTGGCGAGGGTGGGGCCTGGCTCCTCAGAGATGAGAGCCCAAAGAGCCCAGGGAGATCAAGCTTGGGGCGGCAGGAGATGAGGGCCCAGTAACGGAGCGGGAAGCCCCAGGAGTCACCCACCCAAAGTCACCCTGGGGTGATTGGCGAGGGCAAGGACTGGGCTGCTTTCTGAAGGGGTGGGGCTGACTGACAAAACTTTGATGGGGGTAGCCCAAGGCACCGGGGTTGGGGGGACCAGTCCAGTGTGCCTCAGGAGTCGTATAGACTCTGGCAGGGGTCTTGTCATCAGAGGGGATCTGTGGCTGGGTTGAGGGGCTATGACCTAGTGCGTTTTTACCTTTTTCTTGGCTGCAGCCAATTTGTTGTGTTGAGTTTCTTCTGCCATCGCAGGGTGGGGAGGGAGGCAGGGTTGGGGCCACAGCAGCAAAATCGCAATGAGAACCGATCAAGGCCTCCAGTCACCTTCCAGGCAGCTGTGTGACTGAGCCAGAGGAGGCGTAACCAGGGCCCCAGTAGAATGCGGAATAGGGGTGTGGCCTTAATGCTCCAAGCCCATTGGTCAATGAGAAAGATGAAAGGGAAAGGGGGCGTGGCCAGACAGCAGCGTGTCCAGAGGGCCCTGTGGCTCACAAGGAAAGCTGCCCATGCGACCGCTCTCCGCACCCACTCTAAGAGAGGGGAGAGGCCTCCCACTCTGGAAGAGAAGAGGGGCCAGCTTTTGCTTTAACAGCTTTAAAACTTTAAAAAATATATGTGTGTATACTTTATATATATGTGTGTCCGTGTGTGCGTATCTATGTTTTTCTCCATAGCTGTCTTCATTATCCAGCTTCTATGCAAGGTCTATGATTTTGGCCTACATTTTTCATCTTTGATTACAGTACAAAAATTACCAGTATTATCTTAACTGAGATACAGATCCTATAAAAATGGAAAATGCATAGCATGCTTGATGATTAATGAAGCAGACTATATTATCCAACATTCTAATAAGATAAAATAATCACAATGATTTCTCTTTTTTGGAAAAATGTTTCTCTTATTCTCCTATGTTTTCGTTAAGATTTTTTTTCTTAAACAAGAAACATGTCTAATATCTGTAAAAACACAAAGCTTTTGGGCCGGGTGCAGTGGCTCATGCCTGTAATTCCAGGACTTTGAGAGCCCAAGGTGGGTGGATCATGAGGTCAGGAGATCGAGACCATCCTGGCTAACACGGTGAAACCCCATCTCTACTAAAAATACAAAAAAGGCCGGATGTGGTGGCAGGCAGCTGTAGTCTCAGCTACTTGGGAGGCTGAGGCAGGAGAATGACATGAACCCCCGAGGTGGAGCTTGCAGTGAGCCAAGATCATGCCGCTGTACTCCAGCCTGGGCTACAGAGCAAGACTCCATCTCAATTAATTAATTAATTTATTTATTTATTAATAAAAATAAAAAATTAATAGTAAGAGCAATGTGAACAAAAGATGCAATAAAATAATTTAGAAAATACAAGCTATTAAAAAATAGATTTTAAAACTTGTGCAACAAAGTCAAACAGCACCCAACGAAAATGTATACCCTTACATGTTTGTTTAAAAAGCAATTTAAATTACATTGATCCACTAAACTAGGAAAAGCAAAGCAAACAAAAAGGGAGAAATAATTAAGACGTCAGGAAAAAGGAAAAAGAAAAACCACTAGATTTAAAAAACAAAACTGAAGGAGGATTCTTTCAAAAGACTGAGATAATAAAACAGTCAAGCCTCTGATAAGTAATCAAGATAAAGAAAACTTTGAAGAGAAAAGGGCATATAGCCACATGTGAATATGATGCAAAAAGTGAAAACTTTACACATCTTTACAACACCTTAGAAGTATGGATGACATGTTCTTTTTTTTTTTTTTTTTTTTTGAGACGGAGTCTTGCTCTGTCACCCACGCTGGAGTGCAGTGGCGTGATCTTGGCTCACTTGCAAGCTCCACCTCCCGGGTTCACAACATTCTCCTGCCTCAACCTCCCGAGTAGCTGTGACTACAGGCGCCCGCCACCACGCCTGGCTAATTTTTTGTATTTTGGCTTAGTAGAGACGGGGTTTCACCATGTTAGCCAGGATGGTCTCGATCTCCTGACCTCGTGATCCACCCGCCTCGGCCTCCCAAAGTGCTGGGATTACAGGCATGAGCCATCGCACCCGGCCAAAGTGTTCATTTTTTTTTAAGAACCTACAGTTACGAAAACTAACTGAAGAAGTGGGAAATCTGGAGACCAATATGCAGAAGAAGGAAAAAGACAAAGACTCATCCCCCAAATTGGGTATTTATTTAAACCAGAATTTGTCAGCCTCAGCAATATTGATATATTGGGCCAGATAATTCTTTGTGGAGGGTTCTCCTGGTGTGTTGTCGGGCATTTAGTAACATTCCGTCTACCCACAGAATGCCAATAAGACCTCCCGACCATGACCAGTGGTGACCACAAAAATGTCTCCAGATATTTCCAAACGTCCCATAGGAGGCAAAATACTCCTGCAGGTGAAAATTACTGTGTAAACCAGATCTACATCCTAGATCTTAGAAAAAAGATGTAAAGCTTCCCAACTCAGCCCTGCATACCCTTGATACTGAAATGAAATAACAGCCTTAAAGGAAACAAACAAAACTATAATCTTATTTAATACAGAAGTAAAAATACAAAAATAAAATATTACCATAGCCATTCTAACAGTGTTTACTATAGGAATGCAAAGATAATTCAAAATTAGGAAAATTTCATCAGGCAATTCACAAATTATATTTCTACATATAATTGAAGGCACAATCATGAAAAACAAAGTAGCTCTATATGCATTAAGTTGATGATCTATTCAGTGAAAAACACAAGTTGCACATGTCTTACAGAAGGAAAACTTAACACTGAACAAAGATTCTCACCATCTGCTCTTTGTCCTGAGGCTCCAATAGAAATACAGTGAAGAATAAACATTGTATAAGCACACAATTACAAAAAAGGAATGGGGTTACCAACAGAAGAGAATTCATCTTCATTAGACAATGACAGTACATGGAAAATGGTTAATTCATGGAGCAAAGCAACAAAGGTGGAGGTCAGGGGGATACTGAGAACAAGGAGGCTAATCTGTCCCACAGCAACCTGGAAAGGTTCTAGACCCAGACACGAGGTACCCCCGACAGTGGGACTGATAGGCAAGACTGAAAACAGAGATTAAGCAAAAGCCCGGATAGAGAACACATTTCACAGGCCCTGAAACACACTGCTGGCCCCATCTCCTTGAACAGAACCCAAGCAAACGTATCTACCTCAGGCAAGAGAATGTAGATTTTACATCCAGAGGAATGGAGTAGTCATCCAGCCATCATTTAAGATTGCAACAGGAGATAAGATAGAGGGATGGAGGATAACAATTAGGAATCAGCATACATTCCCCTTAAAGCTATCAGTTGACAAGTCTTGGCCACAAAGAACTCCCAATCAATTTTTATTTATTTTTATTTTTATTTATTTATTTTTTTTGAGACAGGGTCTTGCTCCTTCGCCCAGGCTGGAATGCAGGAATGCAGTGGCATGATCAGAGCTCACTGCAGCCTCAACCTCCTGGGCTCAAGCAATCCTCCTGCCTCAGCCTCCCAAGTAGCTGGGACTGCAGATGGGTGTCACCACACCTAGCTATTTTTCTTTTTTTTGTAAAGATGGGGTCTCACTATGTTGCCCAAACTAGTCTTGAGCTCCTGGGCTCAAGTGATCCTCCCACTTCGGTCTCCCAAAGCACTGAGATTATAGGTGTGAGCCACCACACCCCGGCTCCCAGTCTTTTAGTACCTCTCTCAAATATGAATGAGCAAATAAAGGAATGGAAAAAAGACTACAGGTCAGGCACGGTGGCTCATGTCTGTAATCCTGCACTTTGGGAGGCTGAGGTGGGTGGATCACCTGAGGTTGGGAGTTCCAGACCAGACTGACCAACATGGAGAAATCCCATCTCTACTAAAAATACACAAATTAGGTGGGTGTGGTAGCACATGCCTGTAATCCCAGGTACTTGGGAGGCTGAGGCAGGAGAACTGCTTGAACCTTGGAGGCAGAGGTTGTGGTGAGCCAAGATCACATCATTGTACTCCAGCCTAGGCAACAAGAGCGAAACTGGGTCTCAAAAAAAAAAGAAAGACAACAAATGATAAGCAACATAGAATAGATATTTAAGGAAAGGCTTTAAAAAGAAAAATAAGACCAAAATAAACTAAGAAAAAAATTATTAAAGAACAAGGAGATGCCAGGGAGAAGACAAAGAGTATCAAAATCACTTCATAAAGACACTTGTGAATATATTACATGTATAAAACAAAACAATATGAATAAGAAATAATCAGAGAACAAAAAGTTCTTAGAACTCATGCTTCATCCTGGGAGTTGGTCTCCAATGAGCCATACCTCCTGTCATCATGTCCTTAGACAGGCCCATCCCATAGTCAATCTGGGTTGGCCCCAACACTCACTTTAACCTATAGCATGTGGTAGAAATGACACTGGACCTGTTCCAGGTCTAAGCCTTAAGAACTCCTGGCAGCTCCATTTCTGTGCTTCTGGAAGCCAAAAATAAGAATTGGCTACCTTCTTGGAGAAAGAAAAGCCACATGAAGAGATCCAAGAGGATGAGATGCTATGCAGAGAGAAAGGCCACACCAAGAATTACCAAGGCAGCAGACCTGTGGGTGAAGAAGCCGTCTCAGACATTCCACTGCAGCTGAGCATCCAGATGACCAGTCCCTGACACTGTTTAACCACACAGTGAGAGCTGCCAAATGAGACCAGCAGAAAAACTGTCCAGCTAGCCCCAGTTAATCAATACAGTAGTGACAGATAGACATATGTGTAGTTTTACGCCATTAAGTTTTGGGATAATTGGTTAAGCAACAATAAATAACCAAAACAAAACTTAAAGTTATGACAGTCCAAATAAAATTTCCTGAAAGTCAAAAGATAAGAAAATATTCCAGAACTTAAAATTTTAAAAAATTTAGAAATAACGTGAGATACAACACTCAGGACAAGAGGTCTAAAATCCAATTAACAGACACTTCAAAATGAACAAATAAAATGGAAAAGAGAAAGTTAACAACAAAATATGACAAGATTCAAGACTCCAACTTTGAAAGAGCCTATCCATTGGCCTGTTCATTTGGTGTACCCAGCATAATGAATGAAAAAAGACCCACACTAAGTACACTGTTGTGCTATTTCAGCTCACCAAGGAAAAGACAAACTCCTAAAAGCTTCCAGAGAGAAAGTAATGCATAAACAAGTGAAACTCATGATGGCATGAGGCTTCACCACCACGACTGGTTAGAAGACAACAGCACAGACTTTGAAATTCTAAGGTAAAATTATCCTCAACCTAGAAATACATAATCAAGCAAACTATCAATCAAGTGTGAGGGTAGAATATGAGAGACGTGAATACCGATGGGGATGTGATATGCAGCAGGCACTGTTCTAAATGGTTTACATGTACCAACCCAATTAAGAAACTTAAAATACACACACACACACACACACACACACACACACAGTTTTTCCTGCTAATCATTTTACGATGAAACAACCAAGCAGCTAACCCAGAGCCCACAAAGGCAGAGTAAAAATTCTAACACTTGGTAAAATAAAAATGGACATATACACCCTGTGATCTAAAAAAAAATGCTTAAATATTCAAAGACAGAGAGCAATTACAGCTACTGAGAACATCACTGTAAGCAAACTGAGGCAGAGAAAACAAAGGTGCTAATGAGGATTTGAACCACCTAACATGCAGAAACCCACTGGATGCTTTCCTAGGTTCCGAGCTGGCATTGTCTTTCAGAATGATCTAGAAGAGGTCACATGACACTGTTACAAAGGATCTGGAGAAAGGGACCCTTGCTTTATCACTCCGGCTCTCCAGTCATGCTTCACATTTTCGCTTCTTACACTCTTTCACATGAAGTCAATTTACAGACCTCCGTCATGCCCCTAGAGACCTTTTTGTAATATTCTGACAAGTTCTGGATGTCATCTCTGCACTTTTGACAAATTCTTAGCAGTTAACTTACAAGACAGTTAACATTTTTGTTCACAGTATAGCTAGAAAAGGGTCATATACTCAATAAAACAAATATTTACCAAGCATTCATTAAGTGGAAGATAAAACGCACAAAGCATAATTATAAAATATTCTCCCCTGCCATGATACAACAAAATTTTTAAAGGCTTACAGAATATAGCATAACATGACCAAAGCAAAAATAGTAAGGACTAAAGAGGGGAGGAAGGGAAAATATCAGCATGAACTGAATATGACCCAGAAGAGTCTTGATGGTCAGACATCTAAAGATGTATTGGGCAGGGTTAAGGGGTGGAAGTCAGGGGCACAGGTCAGGGGCACATTCTACAAGGGAAAAACAGCTGATACAGAAGCCTGAAAGGTAAAGTGGGCAGAGCACCTGTACAGGACTCTTACCTGCCACAGCGAGGGCACAATGCGCCTTTCCAGAACACAGCAGCGCACAGCCAGGCCTGGGGCAGAGGGATCACTCAAACAGCACCAGAGGCTGCATTCCTACTTTTCTTCCGTCAACAAGTCCATTTTCATTGTTAGTTTCTCCTTCAACACAAACTTAAAAACAAATGGCTGAACACGCAGGAACAAGGAAAACCTGACTGAAGAATGAGACGTTAAAACTTAAGGGCCTTAGGTCCTGGCACGGTGGCTCACGCCTGGAATCCCAGCATTTTGGGAGGCAGAGGTGGGTCATTTGAGGTCAGGAGTTCAAGACCAGCCTGGCCAACACGGTGAAACCCCGTCTCTACTAAAAACACAAAAGCTAGCCAGGCGTGGTGGCCAGTGCCTGTAATTTCAGCTACTCGGGAGGCTGAGGCAGGAGAATCACTTTAACCAGTGGACTGTCAAGAGAGGTAGGCTGCAGTGAACCGAGATCGCGCCACTGCACTCCAGCCTGGGCTACACAGTGAAACTCTGTCTCAAAAAAAAAAAAAAAAAGTCATGGTCATGGTAAAAAACCTATGGCTTTGGAAGGCTTTCTCGGTAACGTCCTAGAATTAAGGTTAAGCCTGTGTTTCATGTTAACTGAACAGGAAACCAGCCTGACCAACATCCTTCTGCCCGGTGGCTTGCTCTCAGCTCCTCTTCGTTGGGCCTTGGGCAGCCAGACTGTCTAGTTTTAATCCTTGCTCTGCCACCTGTGACCTTGGACAAGTTACCTACCTTCAGTTACCTCATCTACAAAATGCAGATATTAATAATACCCTCTTTTCAATTTATTCAGAGGATTAAAAGAGTTAATAAAAAGTAAAAAATAAAAAGACTTGGTAAGCATAGGCACAGAGGAAAAAAAAGTAAAAATAAATAATTAAATAAAAAGACCAGTGCCTAGCACATAAAAGTTCATCAGGAATTAATTCTATAATATGAACTCAATTTTGCAAAACTTCAAAGTACATATAACTTTTAACTTACTAGGGTATACATACCAGTAATAAATTTACAACGGTAGACATGTTTGCCTACTGTAAATATAACAAAGACTAAACAAGCAGATACTAAATCATTAAGCAATTATCAGTTAGTATCTTTAATTTTCTTATACTTCTATATTTTCTATACATCATCTTTGTAACAAGAAGAAAACAAACCAAATGAAAATGAAATGAATTCTCTCAAAAAGAATTAAGTCAAGACAGGAAGAAGGCTCGCAAAGTAATATAAAATATATCTTATGGTTTATGTAAAATTCTTAATAAAATACCTTCTTTGCTCCAAGCTGCACTCTGGCTTTGCCTTTGAGTCAGGTGGCATTTCTTTGCACGATGACTGGTTCTATTGAGTAGGCACTGCTTCAGCCCTACAGGAAGAACAAAACCTCTCTGGAACACAGCAGCATTCCTGACTCCCACTTGAGGAGGCCTAACAAAACGGCATATGCCTCAACAGCAGCACATCAGTGTTAAAAAGTCTGGAGTCAAGGGGAAAAAGTAAAATTGGACCATTTCCAGAATCTCACAAAAAGCAACAAACTGACGTTCTAAGTGCCCAACATGAGCAAATTAGAACCTTAAATAAAGGTCACTCTTAATGCCTATCCCGGCATAGATTCAGCACCAAGTACAGTGTCATTTTACTGGTTTACCTTTTTCATTCTTGAAAGTAGGAGCTATGAAAAAAAAACACTAAAATTTCTCTAAGAGAACCTTCTACTTTCTATCTAAATTACATAATCAAAACACTGTATTGAGGGTGAAAATTGAATATTATAAGAAAATAATCACGTGTTTTGCGAGAAGTTGCAAATATAATGCTCCTCCACCCAATACCTACCTTAAAAAGAAAAAAGGAAACATACAAAATTATCTCGAGAATTATTCCTGCTTAAACAATGTCTACGTGCCATTACTAAGTATGCACACAGTAAAGATGAGAAGAGGACATGCAAGCGTGAACATACTTGTTAGGGATATAGGACTATGGGTAATTTAAACATTTTAATGGTATTACTCTCATGTAATTGCTCTGAAATTCTAGTCAGTTGTTTGAAATGGCTCTTAGAACAGAATACTTTGACATTTTTATGATGTCAAAAACTAAGAACTTAGCCCTAAATATTCCAAAGAATAGGTGCAGAAGAACCCGTTTCCTTAAACGGCATTTGAGTATTCTTCACAACTCAAACTTTCTCTCCCATCCTGTGATGGCCGAGAGTTTTTCCTCTGACGACGGCACTGACCTTACCCTATCCAAAATATGAACATCTGCATGGTTTCCTGGTTCAAATTGTTTTTATCCATTCTGTCGTGAGAATCAAATGGTTCAGACCATGCAGCACCTCTCTGGGACTTCTCAAGTCCTTTCTAGATCTGAAGACTATTCTCTGAACCAAAGACAACTTCTGGGGGTGTACCAAATCTCCCTTTAGAAAATTATTAAGATCAAGATGTTTTAACCTTTTAACTCTTTCTCAAACAAAATAAATTCGTTTCTCCTTTACTGTTATTTTAAATTTCAAAATACACAGATAGTATGTCTAAAATAAAATCAAGAGAATGACAGTTTTAGAACACAAACTGTGGTAATTTTGAAAACACAAAAGCTAAGACCACTAATTAGGTCTATGTGGACACCAAGTCCACCACAACCTGTTCTGTCCTCCGGGGCTCTGCCCACGCCTTTCCCTTGCCTGAGATTCCTTCTGCTTCCTACCCTTCCAAATGCTGTATTTCCCCCTGGAAGACTTGCCAAGACCACTCTAACCTGCACATCTCCCATTCCAGCTAACCAAAGGCATCCCTGGGTTGACTAAACCAAATTATTTTGCAGACAAGGCATCTAAAAACTTCCACTGTAGACTATTCACCTTAATAATTGTTATTGTGACATTATTCAATAATAAAATGAGGGAAAGAAGTCCTCTTCAATCCCTTATCCTGGAGAATCCAAGCAAGTATCTTTCCCACTTGCTTTGCCCAAACCCTGGGACCTTTCTAAGTAAAAGTTTAATGGAAGGGAAAGAAAATCTAAAAGAAAAACTCTCCAAAAAATTAAACTCGGGCAAAGAATCATGGGATTAAAAATTTTTATTCTTTGTGTATTTGATTTCCGAAACATAGAAATCTCTCTCCCACTCCTTAAACCTGCCACTGGGCTAAGAGAGTATTGTACAGAATATGCACTCACTGACTTAACAGAATTAGAACATCCAGGCACTCACTGAGATTTTGCTGCCACAACCGCTCAAAGTCTAGTCATTAGTTCATGAGTTAACACCACACTTGATCTTCAAATTTTCGAAATGCTGACGGTAGACAGGGACTTGTTTTGGGAAAGGAAGTACACAGTAGACATTGTTACCCATGACCCAACCACCACCACCTTTCCTTTAAAGAACCCCACTCTTCCTTTAAGGTTGCAGAGTCTCAGAAAGTGGGAAGAAAGGAAGTTTTTGCATTTTCAGGTCAAAACGAAGTACATTTGTGCAACCACATAATGCCCATGCAAAGGTCTGTTGAAATCTAAACACAAGACAGAAGTAGTTCTAGCACCTCCACAAAAAGTAGGGTAAGTAAACTTTTCCTTAATATACACTTTCAGCAGCATCAACACCTAAAAGTGGTTGACTTTACTACTGTACTAAATTAAATTACATTCATTTTGTCAATAGGTGTTCCAAATTCATACTGATCTTTGTCTCCAAGGGGTTCCTGCTGAATATTGAGACAGTTGAAGATTACTAGGGGAAAAAATTCTTAATAATCGAAGTAAGGATCATCTAAGGATAATATGCCACATATACAGACACAGTCACATTTTCAGCTTTACAAAAGTTCAGTTATCAAAGTTGTACAGCAAACACTATCCTAAGCTTAGCGTCTTCAGGCATTTGATTTATAATCACTGTAAAGAAAAATCAGTCACAAAATGCCACTTTTGTATGATTCTATTTATATGAAATGCCCAGGATAGGCAAATCTACAGAGATAGAAGTTAGATCAGAGGTTGCCAGGATCAATGGTGGGGGAGAGAGGTACAGGGAGTGACTGCTAGTGGGTACGGGGTTCTTTTTGGGGAGATGAAAATGTTCTGAAATTAGGGAGTGGTAATGGCTGCATAACTCTGAATATACTAAAAACCACTGAACTGTACACTTGAAGGGTGAGGCTTATCATACAAAAACTGTATCACAATAAAGCTCTTAGTTTAAAAAATGTTTGTCTATGTCAAGAAACAAAGAAATAGGGTCATAGCTAGAAGATATGGGATATAAAATACTGGAACAAAACTGCTTAATAATATATCTAGAATCACACAATGGTTAGTCTGTACGCTGACTAAAATCGCGAGATTTGTGTTTTATCGGTATTTCACATTTTTTACTTCTTCTAAGTCAGCCAGTAATTCCTCCTTCTCACCTAAGCATTGACTACAAAGACCAAGCCATTTTGACTCTGCCGCCAATGAGCTTTCACATTTCTTTCCTCCTTCCATTCCCATGACTACCAAACCAGTGTAGGTTCTCCTCACTTCACTCTAAGACAACAGCGTGGCCCTCAAATACTGTCACACTCTTCAAGGCTCTGTGAGCACAATCTGTCTCATATTCTCTTCTGCTGTCACCAGATTTATTCTAAGACCGTTTCTTCACTGTTACTCCCCTGTTTCTCAACCAGTTACACAGAAAGATGAATATCCAGGCATGGTGTCATGTGCCTGTAGTCCCAGCTACTCAGGAGGCTGAGGCGGCAGGATCGCTTGAGAATGTGAGATTCAGACTGCAGTGAGCCATGATCATGCCACCGCACTCCAGCCTGGGCAACAGAGTGAGATTGTCTCAATAAATAAATAAATAAATAAATAAATAAATAAATGTGGTCTATCCATGCAACGGAATACTATAAAATTATCAGCCTTAAAAAAGAAAGAAGCCCTGTCACATGCTGCAATATAGATGAACCTTGAAAACATTACACTAATTGAAATCAGCCCATCACACAAAGACAAATGCTGTACGATTTCTCTTACATTAGGTTTGAAATTAGTCAAACTCATAGAAACAGAAAATAGAGCGGTTGTTTCCATAAGCCAGGGGATAGAGAAATGGGGAGTTGTTGTATAGTGGCTATAGTTTCAGTTCTCCAAGAGAAGCAAGTTCTAGAAACTCGTTACTCAACATGTATATTTTTAACACTACTGCACTGTATACTTACAAGTGGTTAATATGGTAAATTTTATGTTGTGCCTTATCACCATAATGTTTTTAAAAGAAGGGGTTTGTGTTTCCCTTCGTTGTGATCACCCATTTTTCACTTCAGCATTTTGAACTTGAGATTTCCTGTAGCGGTTTTACTGAGCCCTGCAGTTACCGGCTCAGAATGTCTCCACCACCTTGTAACCTTGTAGGCAGACACTTTTCAGCATCTTATTGGGCTCCGTGTGCTTGATGCTTAAAGTGACATGGAGACATGCCACTTGCTGAGAAGCAAAGAAAGGCAAAAGGTGACTGCTTTCCTGGCATCGATGAAGGCAGAGAGAAGGGATCTTGGAGGCACAGATATTAAGCCATAAGCAATAACATGGGTTGCCAAAAAGAGAACTAACCCCTCTCCTGGTAACATTTCCAGGTGTTTTTCACAGGGCCAGTGGATTTCACAACGCGAGTGCTGTCCAGCACCAAAGGGAATGGCCAACAGGCATGGAGCAGCCTGCAGCATCCAGCACCCAGGAGGATGACCGGCATGCATGGAGCAGCCTACAGCGTCCAGCACTCAGTAGGATGGCCAGGAGGCATGGAGCAGCCTGCCTGTCCCAGGAAAGCAGGAGTCACAGGACACAACTGGACCCAGGTAGGCATGTATGTTAGTTTCCTGTGGCTGTTAGAGCAAATTACCAAAAATTTGGTGACTTAAAACAACAGAAATTTATTTTCTCACAGTTTTGGATATCAGGAGTCCAAAATCAGTATCACTGGGCTGAAATCTAGGTATCAGCAGAGCCAGTGCTCTCAGAGGCTGAGGGGAAAATCCATCCTTTGACTTTCGCAGCTTCTGATGGCTGCTGGCATTCATTGTCTTGCAGCTCCACCACTCCAGGCTCTGCCTCCTTGGTCACAGGGCCTCCTTCTCTTCTGTCTGAAGTTAAATCTCCTTTATCTCCCTCTTATAAGGATATATGTGCCAGGATTTAATGCCCACGGAGACAATCCAGGATAATCTCTCCTCAAGATCCTTAACTTAATCATACCTGAAAATATGCTTTTTCCAAATGAGGTAACATCTACAGGTTCTAGGAATTAGGACTTAATTATTAGCTCCCACTTATAAGTGAGAACATGCAGTATTTGGTTTTCTGTCTCTGTGTTAGTTTCCTGAGGATTATGGCCTCCAACTGCATCCATGTTGCTGAAAAGGACATGATTTTGTTCCTTTTTATAGCTTCATAGTATTCCATGATATATATGTCCCACATTTTCTTAAAAAGAGATTTATTATGGGGTCATGGCTTACATTATTATGAAGGCAAAGAATGTGCCATCTGGAAGCTGGAACACTCAGAAAAATTGGTGATTTAATTCTGTCCAAGTCAGAAGGCCTGAGAACCAGGAGAGCTGATGGTGTACATCCCAGTCCCAGGACAGAAGATGAGATGTCCCAGCACAAGCAAAGAGGCAGAAAGAAAGGGGGCAAATTTCCCCTTCCTCCCTTTGTTCTACTCAAGCCCTCACCAGGTTGGATGATGTCCATCTCCATGGGGCCATCTACGTTACTGAATTCACTGACTCAAAAGCTAAAGTCACCTGGAAACACTCACAAACACACCCAGAAACAATGTTTAATCCGAGCACCCTGTGGCCCAGTCAAGATGGCACATAAAATTTACCCTCACAGTGTAATCCCAGGAGCGAGGCAGATCGCTTGAGACTGGGAGTTCCAGACCTGCCTGGGCAACATGGTGAAACCTGTTTTTTTGTTGTTGTTTGTTTGTTTTTCAGATAGAGTTTCGCTCTTGGTGCCCAGGCTGGAGTGCAATGACGGCTCACCGCAACCTCCACCTCCCGGTTTTAAGTGATCCTCCCGCCTCAGCCTCCCAAGTGGCTGGGATTGCAGGAGTGAGCCACCATGCCTGGCTAATTTTTTTTTTTTTTTTTGGTGGAGACAGTTTTCTCCATATTGGTCAGGCTAGTCTCAAACTCCCGACCTCAGGTTATCCACCCACCTCAGCCTCCCGGGGGTGCTGGGATTGCAGGCGTCAGCCGCCGTGCCCGGCGCAATTTATTAATCAGAAAGGAATAGATCGGCCTGGCGTGGTGGCTCACCCTTGTGATCCCAGGATTTTGGACGGCCGAGCGCAGCGGATCACTTGAGCCTAGGAGTTCCAGACCAGCCTGGACAACATGGTGAAACATGGTCTTTTTTTTTTTTTTTTTTTTTTTTTTTTGAGTGGAGTTTCGCTCTTGTTTTCCAGGCTGGAGTGCAGTGGCACGGTCTCGACTCACCGCGGCCTCCACCTCCCGGTTAGGTGGTTCTCCTGCCTAAGCCTCCTGAGTGGCTGGGATTGCAGGCATGAGCCACCATGCCAGCTAATTTTGGTGTTTTTTTTTTTTGTACAGACGGGGTTTCTCCGTGTTGGTCGGGCTGATCTCAAGCACCTGACCTTGGGTGATCCACCTGCCTCCACCTCCCTGGGTGCTGGGATTGCAGGCGTGAGCCACCATGCCCGGCTTTTTTTTTTTTTTTTTTTAAGAGACGGGGTTTCTCACTTTTGGTCAGGCTGGTCTCAAACTGTGGACCTCAGGTGATTCGCCCGCCTCGCCTCCCGGGGTGCTGGGATTGCAGGCGTGAGCCACCACACCCAGTCCAATTTATTAATCAGAAAGGAATAGATCGGCCTGGCGTGGTAGCTCATGCTTGTGATCCCAGTACTTTGGACGGCCGAGAGCAGCGATCGATTGAGCCTAGGACTTCCAGACCGGCCTGGGCAACGTGGTGAAACACTGTCTTTTTTTTTTTTTTTTTTTTTTTTTTTAGTGGAGTTTTGCTCGTTTTCCAGGCTGGAGTGCAGTGGCGTGGTCTCGACTCACCGCGGCCTCCACCTCCTGGGTTTAGGTGGTTCTCCTGCCTCAGCCTCCTGAGTGGTTGGGATTGCAGGCATAAGCCACCATGCCAGCTAATTTTGGTTTTATTTTTTTGGTACAGACGGGGTTTCTCCGTGTTGGTTGGGCTGATCTCGAGCTCCTGACCTCGGGTGATCCGCCCGCCTCCGCCTCCCTGGGTGCTGGGATTGCAGGCATGAGCCACCGCGCCCCCGGTCCAATTTAGTAACCAGAAAGGAATAGATCGGCCTGGCGTGGTGCCTCCCCCTTGTGATCCCAGGACTTTGGAAGGCAGAGTGCGGCAGATCGCTTGAGCCTAGGAGTTCCAGACCGCCTGGGCAACATGGTGAAACCCGGTCTCTGTTTTGAGACGGAGTTTCACTCTTGTTGTCCAGGCTGGAGTGCAATGGTGTGATCTTTGCTCACCGCAACCTCGGCCTCCCGGATTTAGGTGATTCTCCTGCATAGGCCTCCCTAGTAGCTGGGATTACAGGCATGAGACACCATATCCGGCTAATTTTGTAGATTTTTTTTTTTTTTTTTTTTTTTTTTTAGTAGAGACGGGATTTCTTCATGTTTGTCAGGCTGGTCTCCGACCTCGGGTGATCCGCCCACCTCTGCCTTCCAAAGTGCTGGGATTGCAGGCCTGAGCCACTGCGCCCGGCGGAAACCCAGAACAGAAAAACAAAACAAAAACCACAAAGATTAGCCGGGTGTGGTGGGCCGCGCAGGTAGTCCCAGCTACTCTGAAGGCTGATGGAGGAGGATTGCTTCACCCCAGCTTCTAGGTGGCAGTGAGCTATGATGGCGCTGCTGCACTCCAGACTGGGCGACAGAGCGGGACTCTGTGGCAGGAAAAGGGAAAGGAAAAAAAAAGAAAAAGAATGTAAATAAAATTGCTAACTCAAGGAACAGCTTGACAGTATATTATTGCGACAAATAGAGGCAAAGGTTAGCAGACACCAGTGTTCACTTAGTGGGAACTGCAGGTGTTCCCCCCATAGGAGGCTGCTACTTTCCCACAAGAAATCCATTACTGACTACCGATAAAAGAACACATTGTAGGTTTCTTACAATATATAAATAGCTAAACTTTATATAGCCACGACCATATTCTAGCACTGCTCTAAGCCTTTTCCTGCTCTGAAATAGCTACTATTGTTACCTCCATTGTAGAGAAAACAGGTGCCGGAGGCTGTTGTGGAAGGACCAGAGAAACTGACTATGAAATTGACTTGTTGTAAGTTTCAGACTTAAAAGTTCTTCCTGCTCTGCTCCTTCCATTGCCACATTTTAGTTAAGGTACCTCTTACAATACTGGTCCTTTCTGTATTTGGAGGGACTTCTCTTGCAAATTGAAGTTTTTTCTTGCGCTAAGCATTTGGTCATGAGATTATCTGCGTTTTACATCAGTTTAAGTACCTCTTTAGACATTGTTCAGTTAGGAATGTAAATAGGAGCTAACATTGTGTGTAAAAGGAAAGAACATCTGATTACAACCACTTTTGTTTCATAATACAAATATAAATCAATATGTTATTGGAAATGCAGGCTGGGAGGGGAGGGAAAATATGCATACAGAAAAGCCCCATCTCTGCTTGGAGTTCAGCACTGGGTCTCTTTTTCCTTTCCACCTTCCTTGTCAAGGCTGCCACAGTGACAAGCACACAGAGGTGCCTTCAGTGACACCTGCTGGGACAGACCTGGCAGAACGGATTGCAGATTTGCATGTTTCCTGGCTGCCTCTGCTAGCCTGAGTCAGCAGCCCACTCCAATTCATGCTGAGCTTAGACAGCTCAGGTTTGCAAAATTATCCCTTCCCTTGGAGCAACCGCTTTCCAGTCTCCTCATCATTCCTAAAGGAGAATGATATACATGCCAGCATGACAGAGGTCCAGAAATTTATAGAAGCTTCACTGTGAGCCTATATCCTTAACAGGGGCTCAAACTACCAACACCGAATGAAGAGAGAGGTTTTGCAGTAAAGCAGGAAGTCATTAAAATAATGAATCACCCAGCTAGGTTTTGAGCTCCTTTTCCACCAATTTAATGGAAAGTTTTATTGTCTTTCCAATGTACACTTTCATAAATTTTCCATAAATTTATTATTCACATCTTAACATAGGTAACTCCTTTGTGTTTGATCACTGAGCAAATTATACGCAGCAAAACAATCCTATATTTTGGTGAACTCATAGCTTAGAAAATACTAAAGACTCATTGTAAGCTGAGGGCAGCATTAAGCAAATTATATTTACCTTTGTGACTGCAAAACTTAATGATTCAATGCTTTTCCCATGAAATTTATCTTCCAATACTGATAGTTTTTTAAACAAAAAATATGAATTAAATATCAATTAAAATTTTATCATTGTTTTCAGAAACTGTGACTTCACTAGTTATGAACAGACTTGAAATGTATAGTTTTTAAGTTTGGAAATTCTTTGTAGTTTCATTTACTTTTCCAGGAAGGGAGTGAGATATTTTTTGCCACTGTTGCCTGGTTTTTGTTTGGTTTTTGATCATAAACAAAACTTAATGGAGCCTCAAATCTACTAACTCGGTCCTCCTCTGGCAATATGCCTTTTTCTGATTTCTAGATATCACTTGATATTTTTAACACACTAATTTTATTATTTAAAAATTTATAAAAGTACTCAGAAGTAAGAAGCAAATTAAATTTGAAACCTTAGTAGTAATACCATCATCCAAAGTCATCATCAATAATATTTTGGCATATTTTATTTTAAAATACATTTCAGCACAGTTTAGTTACATTTGTTATATCTGTATCAATAAACTGTTTTCATATGTCATTACTTTTATGGATATAATTTTTGACGTGTGACTAATACTAAATCTTACATACTTGCTGTAGTTGACCTTGTGAGACATTTAGATTTTCAACTGTTTAGTACTTTAATAACCAGTTTTTATTCTAATATCATTATTAGAATAATAATATTACTATAGTATTATTATTATTATTGTAGCAATAACTTGTTTTTAGAATAAATATCCTATTTCTCATTTAACTTGATTGGATCCGTGCACGGACAATTATGTTGGGAACATAGAATGTAACTGGCCCTGTTTCAACCCCTTAGATGTGGCCCTCAGTTTAGGGAAGGGAGGAGTTCTCTACTGGGCTGATAAAGCAGAATTCAGAAACATTGTTTTCTTCTTTACCTGGTGTTTTACAAAACCAGATGTGAGTGTGACTTGTAAAGGCAAGAGCATGTATATTATGCAAAAGCAGCCTGAAATATTTTATTCACAGATAGACAGACAATGCTTGACTCCCTGCTAATCTGAAATACTTCATGGGGAGGGCCAGGGAAATCAAAACAAAATTTCAGAAGTAGAATGAGCTATTTGGTGTATGTCTCCAAGGCCAATAAATAACAAGAAGGAAAAATAAATTTCTTTGCTAACAACAAGAAGGAGAAATAAACTTTTTTGCTCTAAAACATTTTCCAATTATCTCCATGACACTGGAGGGAAGGACTAACAAAAAAAAAAAAAGAAAGAAAGAAAAAAAAAAGAAAAGGAAAAAAAAAGGTGGGGCATGGTAGCTCATGCCTGTAATCCCAGCACTTTGGAAGGCCAAGGCAGGTGGATCACAGGGTCAGGAGGTTGAGACCATCCTGGCCATCCTGGCTAACACGGTGAAACCCCGTCTCTACTAAAAATACAAAAAATTTGCCAGGCGTGGTGGCGCCCGCCTGTAGTCCCAGCTACTTGGGAGGCTGAGGCAGGAGGATGGTGTGAACCCAGAAGATGGAGTTTGCAGTGAGCCGAGATCCCGCCACTGCACTCTAGCCTTGGCTACAAAGCGAGACTCTGTCTCCAAAAAAAAAAAAAAAAGTTCCCAATGCACAAATCAATCAAGAATTTCACCCCCAACAGTGAAAAAAATTGTGAAAGCAGTCAGGTTTTAGTCACTGTAAATTACAATTTCAATTCCACCCATCCAAAGAAAGCTATGTACATCCTTCTCATTCCAAATACATACAGGCCATGAGTTAATAATCTTTCATTCTTCTAAAATATCAACAGATTTGCTTTTTTACTTTCATTTGTAGTTTATAGCACTCACAATTAAATTGATCCAAATGTATTTGAGGTACTATATATATACATATATATATATATATATATATATATATATATATATATGGATCAAAGGTCAATGCTATTGTCTATGCATTAGCCACTCCCATTTATGAGAATTTTCTGAACTTGTTGCTATATATCTCTTAAATGGTGTCCGTTGGCCACATTTCTTTCCTGAGAAACAACTGAGCAGCTGACAATGGAAATGAAGCTCTCTGCATTCCTGTTAGGCATACTGCATACATCTTAGGCTCTCTGCATGCCTCTTAGGCACTTACATTTACATATATTTGTATCTCATTACATAGTGATACAGTCCTAAAATAAATAATGAGTTATTTTCTAGACTAATTTGATGAGGCTTTTATTTGATAACAAATTAAAATTATGCCACCAGATGCCTATACTTTGACTTATAAAATGTGTTGTGTTCTGCATGGGCAAACAGAAAGTGCAGAAATTGAACGGCTGCCTGGTAAAATTACCTAAATCCACAATGCCACTGGACAACATTGAACTAGATATTTAAATAAGTGAAAGTAATCAAGTAGTTGAGTTCACTGATAAAATTATACTTGGAATCTTACATCATTCCCAGATTAATATATACAATGTATATCAAATGTCATTGCTATGGGAATGGAAACTGTTACACATGAGGTTAAATTTTTATAAAGAATTTTTTTTCCTCTAGAACTGACATTGAGAAACTTGATACCCTCTCTTTATGGCATGTCTTAAGAAAATGTCAACCCAATGTCAAAGGATAATTAATTTTTTTAAAGAAAAGAAAAATAATGGTTCTCATACAAATGTAAAATGAATATATGTTCATGATTTTATTTAACTGATTAATAAATAAGAGTGCCACAGGATGTTTTAACTGGTTCAAAGGAGAATACAAAGAGAATATATAGGCAGACATTCATGCTGAAATGAATTTGCTTAATAAAGGCAAAACTAGCCAATATCCATAGGGTGATGGTCAAATATATCTACACTGGATAATTTGCATTTTCATGGACAGGAATTATTTGCAATTTACACAGTTGTGAAATAGGTAAAACAAACAAAAAGTGAAAGGTTCAGAAACCCCATACAATCAGCTAAACTAACATTTAGTTTTCCATTGAAAATATTTAGCAATTTTTTGAGACAATTTCAAAGTTTTTCTTAATTTTTCTCTGCTCTAAACAAGTATATAAATTATTTCCAATGAAAATTAGAGCTTTTTCTTTGTTGAATTAGTGTTTTGAAAAATTTATGGAAGGAGACGGAACATAAAAGCAGTTGCCAAGTTTATCAATTAAGTTGGTACGATTACAAATCCCAATTGAGAAATATTTTTAAGTATATTTTTCTTTCCAAGACAAATAGACATTTAAACAGTCCTAATGTTCATATCCTTTATGTTACATATATATGTATAGATGTGTAAGTATATGTATATCTACATGTATATAAAAAGACACAAACTCACATAGTTATTTCAGAGAATTATTTATGGAAATGTGTTGGGTTTTCTTTTTGTGAAGCTATGTTATCAAGAAGTTATTCTTAGTTTTACAGAAAATAAAACAGCTCTGGCTCTTTGTATCATAAGATAAATATCTGTTTATAAATATCAGTATTTTCTAATACTTCTAATGTACTCTTTTGGAGGTAATGGTATATGAAACCCTATAAGAGCAATTCTACTTCATTAATTAATTCGGAAGAAACACAAGTTTTTAAGACCCAGTGTATGCCAATAATTGACAAAGTCATTAAGGTAGACAAAGATGGGTAGAGCCTGGGCTTTGGCTATGAATGTTAGAAAATGAATCACTGAAAGTAAAACATGTTTAAAAGATTAAAATAACAAAAAATGGTTTGAAATTAATTTCAGTTATTGGCCATCAATTGGTTAGAATGAGTAATTAAGAATGAGTCGAAGCTTTTTTCTCTTCATTTATGTCAAATATGTCATAAAAATAGTCAATTTTAGATTATTATAAGTCAATTATGTCAAAATGGTTGAATGACATGTCATTGAAATTAATCTTTAGCTTGTAATGCTATCATTTCAGTTTTAATTAATATTGGGGCCAAAATGTTCATTAGATACTGTTTTTAATGATCAGTTTTTATGCAAATGATTTATATAAGTCAGAACTTCAATTCAATGTTTGGTAGCTGTTTGATTTTTAGGACATTATATATTGAAATGTACACTGATTATCCTAAAGTTGTAAATATTTAAGAAACTTTACAGCAAAAAGTCTAAAATAAAGATATATTTATATTATTTCCAAAACAGAAAATTTAAATTGATTCCCTAGTCAAAGAAACTGTTTGTAAATAAAATGTAACAAACTATATATTCCTTGGCCCCCAGACAGTTTAAAGTCACTTTTCCTTTTTATATACATGTTCTAATATTATAAACAGTGAGCTCAGGAATACCCTAATTTGTCTTTTGTATATTTTCAGCAGATTGTGCTGTTTCAAATTATATTATTTTACTCCAATTCTTTTGTTTACATATTGCTTTTTTTGCTAGCGTTTTTCATATTTTAAAATATATTACTATATTGTATATAGTAATATTGTGTTTCTCTTTCTTCATGTTTTATTTTGTTCCATAACCTTTGGCTTGTCCTTTTTATTCCATATTCCCATTTGTAGATGTAGTTTTCAAAGGTGCTTATTTACACAAACTTAAGACTCTTGGGCCAGGCGTGGTGGCTCACACCTGTAACCCCAGCACTGTGGGAGGCCAAGACGGGCGGATCACAAGATCAGGAGATTTGAGACCATCCTGGCTAACATGGTGGAACCCCGTCTCTACTAAAAATACAAAAAAAAAAATTAGCCGGGCATGGTGGCGGACGCCTGCAGTCCCAGCTACTAGGGAGGCTGATGCAGGAGAATGGCGTGAACCCGAGAGGCGGAGCTTGCAGTGAGCCGAGATCGCGCCATTGCACTCCAGCCTGGGCGACAAAGCGAGACTCCGTCTCAAAAAAAACAAAAAAACAAAAAACTTTTGAACCAAAATATTCTGAATGAGATCAAAGTCAAAGCTCAAACGTTTCTTAAAAATGAGGTTTTTCTGAGTTGGGAACCAGAGTCATCTATTGCCCAATGCAGTAGGCATTGAGAATAGAACTTGCGACAACTCTCTGTGCATTAACAATAGAAAAAATGGGATAAGATAGAGGCAAGGAACATACATTCACGGAGCAAGAGGAAACACTGAAGAACTAATAGAAATTGGGCTTATTAAAATAAACTTACCAAGGTATGGTACCAATTCTCCTTTTTTTGTTCAGTCCATAATAGAGTTCTTAATGCTTTCAAATTTTTTCTTATAATAGTTTTCCTAAATATATTTCATTTATTTATTTGTTTGTTTGTTTTTTACATGGTGTCTTGCTTCATCGCCCAGGCTGGAGTGCAGTGGTGCGATCTCGGCCTACTGCAACCTCCGCCTTGTGGGTTCAAGCAATTCTCCTGTCTCACCCTCCTGAGTAGCTGGGACTACAGGTGCCCGCCACCACACCTGGCTAATTTTTGTATTTTTAGTAGAGACGGTATTTCACCTTGTTGGTCAGGCTGGTCTTAAACTCCTGACCTCAGGTGATCCACCCGATTCGGCCTCCCAAAGTGATGGTATTACAGGTGTGAGTCACTGCGCCCGGCCCTAAATCTATTATTTAAAAATCCACCTATACAATTGGTATTCACAGAAATTGCCCATATATGTTATTATTTTATTCTCATAACTCTCTATGCCAAGTATAGATACATTATTGATGTGGAAAATTAGATCACAGAGATAAAGTGACTTTCCCAAGGTCAGTGCAGAAAGGGAAAGGTGAAAATTTGAACTTGTACCTGAAGAGTAAGAGCAAAGGGGTTAAGGAGTTACTCATATATCTTTGTGCTTCAGAGGTCCTTACTGAGAGTTTTAATCCAAATGGTTTGGTAAATCTGGGGCAACAGCTATAACATGGCTTATGTGATGCTTAGTGTTTTGGAACCATCAAGATCTTTGCAATGGCATCACCGATAACAACCCCATCATCTTGTAAAACATGGACATGTTGGGAAATAATGTTTTAGTTCAGTCATTGAACTGACCCAAACTTCTGTGTTCATATTTTTATAGACCTCATGATTGTTAAGATATAAAGAAGCATCAGAAGTTTTGTTTTTGTTTTTAATTACAAAGGAGTTAGGATATTCCTAACATCCAAAGTGAATTAAAATAATTCACTTTGATGTGAGAAAGAGCTTCTTGTCTTAGGGACACTGGTGAGGTGAATTCACAACTATGGGTTGTTTTAATTGAATTACATCCTCAGAGGTTTAGTTTTGAGCTCTGAATCTACAATCTGTATTTTGCAAGTAATCAATGGTATTTATTTAAGTTCTCTTGGTAAAGATAATGTGAATAGGGAAATCTGCTTATTTCTAGCATAAAATTGTTTATTAAGCAAAATAATAGCACTGCAAATTAACTAGTAAAATGAAATCTTTAACTTTCACACCTTCATTTGATATTTACTGAATATTTTGGGGACTAGCTTATATGTAATTTAGCTCAACTTTTGTTTAAAATAGGAAACTGAACTTTGAAAATAAGTACTTTTAAAAATATTTTAGAATGCAAAATAGTTTTCATGGAAACTTTCATGGAATAATATTCTTTATATTTTAGAATCAAGGTATGTTCCTACTTGGTATTTAATCAAGGAAATACCTAAATCAAGAACAATTCCAAATGGCTGTTTATTAAGTGTGATGGTTTACTAATGTCAACAAAAGTGAAAAAAATCATATTGAAGTATAAATAGTAATCTTGTTTAACATATTTATAAATACATTTTTGTACATATTTGTGTTTTGTACCTATTTATATAAAAAACAAATATTATTATCTTTTGTACAAATATTTTTAAGATCTGGCACTTTTTTAGCACCCCAGAAAAATATTTTTCAGGCTCTCAGCTGATGCTGAGAAAAAGAAGTCAGTCTCACATGTTACCATAGATTAATATTGCCTATCTTTGTCTTCATATAAATGGAAGCATATGGTATTTATTTTTTTCTGGCTTATTTCACTCAAAATTACATTTGTGAAATCTGTTTATGTTATGGACCAGTGATTCATTCCTTTTTGTTTTGTGTAGCACCCTGTTGAATGAATATGGAGCTTTCCAATCCATTCTAGCCTGATGAACATCCAGGTGTTTCTGTTGAAACTGCTAGTCATAAATTATGTGTTTAAATGTAGTAGATAATGATAATTATTTTTCCAAAATGATTGTATCAACTTAATAACTCATTCAAATATGTGAAGACCTCCTAACAATCTAAAAAGATGGACCTCCAATTTCAAATAATAAATAAAAAGAGTAAGTACTTGAACAGGCAGTATATGCACATTTTTTAAAATAAAAGATTGAGTTAAATTTTGTAAAATGTAGGCCGGGCGTGGTGGCTCACGCCTGTAATCCCAGCACTTTGGGAGGCAGAGACGAGCAGATCACGAGGTCAGGAGATCGAGACCATCCTGGCTAACACTGTGAAACCCCGTCTCTACTAAAAATACAAAAAATTAGCCGGGCGTGGTGGCGGGCACCTGTAGTCCCAGCTACTTGGGAGGCTGAAACAGGAGAATGGCATGAACCCAGGAGGCAGAGCTTGCAGTGAGCTGAGATTGCGCCACTGCACTCCAGCCTGGGCAACAGAGCGAGACTCCGTCTCAAAAAAAAAAAAAAAAAGAAATGTTAAGTAAGAATCTCATTTGAGCTACATGTGTGAAAATATGTCTTTTACATTATTATATAACACAGATTTTGGATATGACGAGTGCTGAACTGAGGCTTTTCACTTGATATGCATTACAAATTAGAATTTTTCACTCACAAAACATGCTTATGACAATTTTATATGTGAATAGAATTGTAAAAATTGCCTTAAGAGTTATTGAATAAAATGTTTAAAGTACCCCATAGGATGAGGAAAAAATGGAAGAGTTAATTTAACAAGGATACAAAGCGTAAAAGATAGAGAAGAATAAGAGTTCAAATAAAATCGAATGAAAAGACACCATCTTGTGTAACTCTGTAGTTAATTGTGCATGTGTGCTATTTTTCATGACTTGGAGCACGTTATTTTTGGCCAAGAGCTTCCATTCTATCTATGGATATGCCAAAATTTTCCTATTTTAGATCTTCTAGTCTCCAACTCTCAAGATAAAAAACAAAAATCATTAAAACCTCTGACTGATATTGAATGCCTGCATAAAAATCTCCTCCCATCACCTTGCAACAGATGACTTGCTCATACACCTTTTTGACTACCACTCCCCATCAAGGGTTCTCTCCTTCGAGACGGCAGTAATTCTCTATGTATTTCATGTTATGTGCAAACTTTACTTTCAAAGAGTTGTTACCTATATTAATGTATTTACATCATTCACTTAATATATTTTCTCTATCAGTAAAATTGGTTTAGATATATTGGATTAGGATAGAACACGTCACAATTTTTCTCACCTTTATGATTTTTTTTTTTTAGTTGGACCCTTTTTCAGTTGGTGACAGTGTCAGAAATGAATTAAAGTTGTTAAGAATAGGTAAGGGTAAAGAGAAGGGTGTCCTTATGTATCAACTTTGCTTATTTAGTTTTTTCAAGTTCAGTAAGACCCTCCTCTCCCTTCAAGGAAGATGATTCCTAGGCACGTTTGTTATTTCTATCAAAACAGCTGAGGTTTTTTTTTTTCATTCATATTGTTAAAATACCAATTGTGGAGCGAAAAATGCTTCACCTGGGACTGTCCCCTGACAGGCGGTGCGACGAGGTCAGGCCCGCGCCCGCCAAGCCCTAGGGCCGCTGCCGCCGACGGCCATGGAGGACGAGCAGCCCGACAGCCTGGAGGGCTGGGCGCCGCTCCGGGAGGGCCTCTTCGCCGATCCCCAGAGGCACCGGTTGCGCTTCCTGGTGGCTTGGAACGGCGCGGAGGGCAAGTTTGCTGTGACTTGTCACGACCGCACCGCGCAGCAGCCGCAGCGGCGCGAGGGGGCCCGGCTGGGGCTGGAGCACAAGCCCGAGGCCGCCGTGTCCCCGCCCAGCTGGGCCGGCCGGCTCTCGGCCGCGGGGTTCCGCGGCGCGCGCCGGCAGCCAGCGGCGCTGTGGCCGCCTCTGGAACACTGCTTCCCACGGCTGCCGCCGGAGCTGGACGTGGGCGGCGGCGGGGCCTGAGGTCTGGGGCTCGGGCGGTGGGCGCTGCTCTGGCCGGCGCGCGTGGGCCCCGGCGAGGCGGCGCTGCAGGAGCTTTGCGGGCAGCTGGAGCGCTACCTGGGCGCGGCGGCCCACGGCTGTGGCGGCGCCACCGTGCGCGACGCTCTCTTCGCGGCTAAGGGCCGCGCGGCCGACTGCGAGAGCCCGCGCGAGTTTCGGGAGCGGGCCCTGCGCGCCTGATGGGTCGAGGCGGACGCGCGGCTGCGTCAGGTAAGCGAGGCCGGGCCGCCGGCGTTTGACCGCGCTTGGGTGGCCTGGGACCCTGTGGGAGGCTTCCCCGGCGCCGAGAGCCCTGGCTGACGGCTGATGGGGAGGAGCCGGCGGGCGGAGAAGGCCACGGGCTCCCCAGTACCCTCACCTGCGCGGGATCGCTGCGGGAAACCAGGGGGAGCTTCGGCAGGGCCTGCAGAGAGGACAAGCGAAGTTAAGAGCCTAGTGTACTTGCCGCTGGGAGCTGGGCTAGGCCCCCAACCTTTGCCCTGAAGATGCTGGCAGAGCAGGATGTTGTAACGGGAAATGTCAGAAATACTGCAAGCAAACTGAAAACAACCCATCCATGTAGGAAAGAATAACACGGACTACACGTAAACAATTCTAAGTCTGTGTCTGCGGGGACGTCGCAAGTGGGATAAAATGGTTTAAAGGAAGAAATGGCTTTTAGGAGTTAGGGTGTTTTGTTTTAAGTAATACAGACTTGGTCAAATGGAAAGCCGGTAGAAAGTGAGCTTTATTCATCAGTTTAACCGCATTAGTGCCCTTTTAAGCTTGAAAGAGGTAGTTTGAGAGAGTAATTGAGTGGTAAACTTACTGAACTTAGGGGACGGGGAAGTACATGTTCATAGAAGGGTTTAGGAGAAAGTATGCCTTCTAAATCCACACCCACGGTTTACTAAGCAGAGCCAGGCTGGAGTCTCGGCTCACTGCTCTTATTAACCTGAATGATATTTTTCTGTGCATTCTTTTGAGGAAGGGGAGGTGAAAAGAAGAATTCAGCCTAAGCTAAATATAGAATAAGCTTTCTAAATTAAAATGGTTTTATAAAAGGAGCTTGTTAGTGGGGTCATTTTTGTACTGTGAGCTTTATGTGTAAATGTCTACACACCCACTTAACGTGTTGATTTCACTTTAGACTATGAGGAAACCACAGGGGAGTTTCAGGCCAGTCAGCTTTTCATCTTCAACTTTATAACTTTCACCTGAGGATATGAGGAACCCACAGGGGAGTTTCAAAAATGGTATCATTTTGTATCAGACTTGTTTTTTAAACACTTGGTTTCTCACAGAGATAGGTGGTTTCTCCTTAAAATCGAACATTTATATGGTGTATTTTACTGTAGTTGCTATCAGAAAAGTTAGTTTTCCCAAATTTAAGTTCACTCTGGGGTACTATAGCATGAATGTAGTTCATTCTGTTGAGCTAGTTGTTCACGTTAGTGTAGTTCACATATTTATCTGGAACTCAAAAATGAGGGGTTGAGAGGGGAAGCTAAACTTCACATGTCCAAATATATAATTTTAATATTTACTTTATATTTAGAATAGAAAAGTAATTGATTCTAGAATTAGACCAATTGCTAGGATTGCTAGGATATATAAAATGAAGCTGAATGTTTTAACTCCGGAATTTTTCTGAATAGTCTAAGAAAGAAGGCTGAAATGTACCACTTGCCTTTTGACTTTTGCTTGTGTGTTTTAATTTTGTTCAGTGAGGCTTTCACTTAAAAAAAATGATAATATTATTACCTGGATAAAAAATACAGCTGAAAGTAGATCACTTTAGCCTTAAGCAGAAGGATGGAAATAGAAGACTTTAAGAATGTATTGGTTGAAAAAAATCTATATTATTTGATTTTATTTCTCTTCTTGTGGGAGTAAAATAATTTCCAACCAAATCAGTCCACCTAGATTATACACTGTTCAGTTTGCTTTCTGCCCTGCAGCACAAGCAATAACCAGCAGAGACCGGAACCACAGCTGAGGCTCTGTAAATGAGTTGACTGCTAAGGACTTCATGGGAATATTAACCTGGGGCATTAAGAGAATCAACATGCTAAAGTACTTGGAGACAGCTCTGTAATGTTTTATGAGATTTTGTTTAGTTGAGTTTTGTTTTGTTTTTTGAGAGAGTCTTGCACTGTCGCCCAGGCTGGAGTGCAGTGGTGCCATCTTGGCTCACTGCAAGCTCTGCCCCCCGGGTTCACGCCATTTTCCTGCCTCATCCTCCCCAGTAGCTGGGACTGCAGGCGCCCGCCACCACGCCCGGCTAATTTTTTGTATTGTTAGTATAGACAGGTTTCACCGTGTTAGCCAGGATGGTCTCGTTCTCCTGACCTTGTGATGCGCCTGCTGTGGCCTCCCAAGGTGCTGGGGTTACAGGCGTGAGCCACCACGCCTGGCCCTTATGAGCTTTTAAAAAGGAATACAGCCTCACAAAACCTTTACAGTCAGAAAAGTCAAATGAAAAAATATCCACAACCTCAAACCTTCTTTTGGGTCCTTTTCGCTGCATACTTAGTGCACAGTTGAGATTAAATTTTATACTCTGCCTCTCCATTTAATTATAAAAGTCTCTTTTTATTTTTGAAACGGAGTTTCATTCTTGTTGCCCAGGCTGGAATGCAATGGCACTGTCTCGGCTCACCGCAACCTCCGCCTCCCAGGTTCAAGCGATTCTCCTGCCTCAGCCTCCCCAGTAGCTGGGATTACAGGCATGCGCCACCACGCCCAACTAATTTTGTATTTTTAGTACAGACAGTGTTTCTCTATGTTGGTCAGGCTGGTCTCGAAGTCCTGACCTCAAGTGATCCACCCGCCTCGGCCTCCCAAAGTGCTGGAATTACCGGCATGAGCCACCGTGCCTGGCCAAAAGTCTCCATATTATTAAACAATCTTCAGAAGCACAGTGCTGAATGACTACACTAATAATATTCTGCCATGGATATATCATAATTTTCTTAACAATTCTTGTTTTATTGGGCATTTTTGATGGAGAATGATAACATTTTCGTATTTAATCAATATTTTAAATTGATGTATTGAAAGTTGAGAACATGAAGGTTTCTTTCGTTTAGCTTTGTTTGTTGGGTATGTATTACACTGTCCTGACTTGAGCTTTATTCACATTTGCTCTCTAGGTTATTCAAGGACACGGAAAAGCCAACACCATGGTAGCATTAATGAAAGTTTACCAAGAGGAAGATGAAGCCTACCAGGAATTAGTTACCGTGGCAACCACGTTCTTCCAGTACTTATTGCGGCCATTTAGGGCTATGCGAGAAGTTGCAACTTTATGTAAGCTTGATATTTTGGTTTTTTTTTTAATTTTTATTTTATCACATTTACTATTTGTCATATATTATTTCTTTATTTACACTTAATCTTCAATCTCTGTACTTTGTTTGGGTTTGTTTGGGTTTACTCTTATGTTTATTTACTTATTTATTGATAGAGATGAGGTTTTGCCATGTTGCTCAAGCTCGTTTCTAACTCCTGAGCTCAAGCAGTCTGCCCACCTCGGCCTCCCAAAGCGTAGCATTACAGGCATAAGCCACTATGCCTAGTTCACCCTCGTGTTTAAATATTGAATTTATATTTAAAATTGATAGAAAATGAAGACATTTACGTTGGTCATCTTAATAGCTTAAGATTCCTACAAATTTTAAAGAGTTAAATGTTTTTTCTGGCGATGAATTTTTTTTTTTGTTTTTTGAGATAGGGTCTCTCTTTGTCAGCTAGGCTAGAGTGCAGTGGCACAATCTTGGCTCACTGCAACCTCCTCCAGGTTCAAGTGACTCTTCTGCCTCAGCCTCCTGAGTAGCTGGGATTACAGGTGTGCACTACCATGCCCAGCTAACTTTCTTTGTATTTTTAGTAGAGACGGGGTTTCACCATGTTGGCCAGACTGGTTCGAACTCCTGGCCTCAAGTGAGCCACCCGTCTCAGCCTCCCAAAGTGCTGGGATTACAAGCGTGAGCCACTGCGCCCAGCCTGATGAATTGTTTTTGATGTGATGTTTATTTGCTTCAGTTGTTTTCCTCTAAGGACTCATGCAGATTTCTTAAAATAGGATGAAAATTTAAATAGCAGGACCCTAGATTGTAATTCAGTAACTTAAATTTTAGTAAATACAGTTATCGCTCTTGCTTCATTGAGCCATCAAACATCCTTGTGACACCATTCAGGAAAGGCATTCTTATTCCAGTGTTACAAATGAATCTAGAGTCCGGAGTTGTTAAATAGCTTGCCTTGGGTCTCAACAACGGGAATCAGAAGACACCTAAGAGATCTCTTGATTTCTGCCCCCTGCACTGGGCCATCTTTCCACATATAATCTCATGCCCCTGCCAGATGATTGTACTATAAAAATAGTATCACATTTAGATGAAACTCATGCCACCCTAACCTGTGGATAAAGTTGTTCTGTTCATTATTTTGAAAGTCTATTATTTGGAGAGTCTACGTCTCGCATATATTTTGCTTTCTTCTTCTTTTTTTTTTTTTTTTGAGATGGAGTTTCGCTCTTGTTGCCCAGGCTGGAGTGCAATGGCGTGATCTCGGCTCACGGCAACCTCCACCTCCTGGATTCAAGCGATTCTTCTGCCTCAGCCTCCCGAGTAGCTGGGATTACAGGCATGTGCCACCTTGTCCAGCCCGGCTAATTTTGTATTTTTTTAGTAGAGACGGGGTTTCTTCATGTTGGTCAGGCTGGTCTCGAACTCCTGACCTCAGGTGATCTGCCTGCCTCAGGCTCCCATTGTGCTGGGATTACAGGCATGAGCCACCGCACCCAGTCTATAATTTTCCTTTCTTTAAGTAACAGCTGTTTTAAAATACCATTCACAGACCATATATATATATATATATATATATATGTAAAATCTGTATATATATGTATACATATATGTATGTATATATGCATGTATATGTACATACATATATGTATATATGCATGTATATGTACATACATATATGTATATATGCATGTATACGTACATACATATATGTATATATGTATGTGTATATATGTATACATATATATAATCTGTATATGTATGTATGTATATGTGTATATATGTATATATACGTATATATGTATATGTATATATGTATGTGTATATGTATATATACATATATACGTATATATGTATGTATACGTATATACGTATATATGTATATATATGCATATATATATAAAATATATCTACATATATAAAAAGATGTACAATTCAGTGATTTTTAGTATATTGAAAGTTGCACAATGATCATTACTATGTAATTTCAGGACATTTTCACCCCCAAAAGAAACCCTGTACCCATTAGTCACTGCCAGCCCTGGGCAACCACCAATCTACTTTCTGTCTCTGTGGATTTCCCTACTCTGGACATAGCAACAGCATTATTGAATATGTGGTCCTTTCACTCAGCACAATGTTTGCAAGGCTAATCCATGTTGTAGCAAATACCAGGATTTCATTTCTTTTTATTGCTCAGTGATATTCATTGTATGGATATATTGCATTTTATTCATCAGTTGATGGACATTTGGGTTGTTTCCACTTTTTGGCTATCATGAATAATTCTGCTATGAATGCTTGTGTGTGAGTTTTTGTGTAGACATATCTTTTCATTGCTCTTGTGTACGTACTGAGGAGTAGGATTGCTGGGTCCTGTGATTACTCAGTGTTTAACCTTTTGAAAGACGCCAGATGGTTTTCCAAAGTGGGTGCATCATTTATATTCCCAGAAGCAGTAAATGAGGGTTCCAATTTGTCCACATTATCACCAACACTTGTAATTGTGTGTCTCTTTGGTTACAGCCATCCTAGTGGGTGTGAAGTGGTATCTCGTTTTGATTTGTAATTCCTTGTCGGCTAACTTGTACATATTTCTTATGCTTTGTAGAAGAAAAATTGCATATTGGATGACATAGCTGTACATGTCTTAGTTCAGGCTGTTGTAACAAAGTACTGTAGATTAGTGGCTTATAAACAACAAAACTTTTTTCTCACAGTTCTGGAGGCTGGGTAGTCTAAGATCAAGGTGCTGGCAGATCCAGTGTCTTGTGAGGGCCAGTTTCTTAATTTGTAGATGACTGTCTTGCTGTGTCTTCACATGGTGAAGAGCAGAGAGAGAGATCCTGTGTCTCCTCTTCTTTTTATAAGGGCATTAATCCCAATTTTCTTGAGGTCTCCACCCTCATGACCTAATTACCTCCCAAAGGCCCCATCTTCAAATCCCATCACACTGGGGATTTAGGCTTCAACATATGCATTTTGGGGGGACCCAAACATTCAGTCCAATACCAGTACATGTTATAAGCATGAATATACAGATACTGTCTTTTAGGTGATAATATTACATATCCCTAAAAGAAATGATAACAACAGCTAACACTTAAGTGCTGTTTTCCAGGCCCTGTGCTGAGTGCTTGACAACACAGATCACTCATTTAAACAATTGTGTATTATTATTAATAGAGAGAAGCATAAGTTGACAACATTCCTCTCTAGAAAAAGTTATTCTAGGCATGTGAAGTGAAAGTAGTTTTTTTTCCCCCCCACTTTATGCCCCAGAGGGTCCTTTTGTCTTCCAGGTGGTGCTCAGCTTAGAGCCTTATTCATATGCAGTAAGGGACTGCTGAATGAATGAAAATTTAACTGACTGAGTAGTAGTGTAGTTAAATTAATCCATGTGACCAATTTCCTTTCAATTTCCTAATGGTTCTACATAACTATTAGCTCTTACTAAGATAATTTTCCCTTCTGTCTGTAGAAGTCCTTGGATGAGGATGACCTAGGTCCTAGAAGGGTAGTTGCCCTGGAGAAAGAAGCTGAAGAATGGACCAGACGGGCTGGAGAAGCTGTCGTCTCTATTCAAGATATCACAGTGAATTATTTTAAGGAGACAGTAAAAGCATTAGCAGGTGATAATCTAAAAAAATGCTATACGCAGATACGTGTAATTGATTGTCATTTTATTCAAATACCATTTGAGTCCCTCTTACGCACTAGGCACTGTGTTTTCTAGGTGGCGAGAATTCAGTGTCAAGCATTAAGAGACATTGTACAGTCTGGTGAAGGGAGAGAAATCTTAATTATCTATTCACTGAAGCACACAGAAAATGGCAGTGACAATAAATGGCACAAAGAAGAGAGACATGGGGCTCTGAGGGTCTGTGAGAGAGAAATTGGGCTTGATCAGCGTGGTCACTGAAGGCCTCTGAGAAGTGGCGCTTGCCCCAATATCTGAAGGGTAAATGGAAATTGAGAGAATAGAAAAAGTGAGGAGTGTTCCGGGCAGAAGGAATAGCACTGGCGAAGGTCCCCTGGCTTGAGGGAAGTTGGCAAATAGGAGCTTACAGAAAACCTGCGGGGCTGGATCGCAGAGAGTGCAGGACAATGTGGTATGAGGGAGAATGCTGGCAAGACAGGCAGGGATCAGACCGTGCAGGGGCTTGTGGGCTGGGTGAAGGACTTTTTTTCAGTCTTAAATAATTGTTGATAAAAACACCAAATAGGAAACAACTTAATGTCTGTCAGTTTAAGTTATGGTACATTCATAAAAGAGAAAACTACATAGCTATTAAGCATGATTCTTGATTTTTTTTTTATAAATGGCAGGAGTTTCTGATATATTGCACAGAATCAACAAGATATAAAGCAGAATGATGATCCTGGTTTTTTGGTCAAACTATCCATATGAGCCTGTCTGTCTAGCTAGTCATAGAAACAATATGGAAGCAAGTGTGCCAAAATATAAGAAGCAGTTGCCTCAACTAGGTGAGATCATGACTTATTATTGTCCTTTTAAAAATTGAATACCTAAAATTGTATATTAATGACCATGTATTATTTTTATAATAATAAAAAGTTAATAAAACAAAATTTCTTTTAAAAAAGATGTTCTGCAGGTAGTATGGAGGCAATAAAAAAAGAATTAGCTCATGATCAATGTTTCCCTTTTTAATGAGGTGTAATTATATTTTATTTTTATAATCCAACAGGAATGCAAAAAGAAATGGAACAGGATGTGAAGAGACTTGGCCAGGCTGCCTGGGCCACAGCAATTCCCAGGTTGGAAAAACTTAAGCTAATGCTAGCTCAAGAGACTCTGCAACTCATGAGAGCGAAAGAATTGTATTTAAATTGCAAAAGAGCTGAAATTCAGGGAAAGGTAAGACAAAGATAAACGTAACTTTGTTTTAAAAATACACTTTTATTTATTTTTTATTTTTATTTTTTTTTTTGAGACGGAGTCTCGCTCTTTTGCCTAGGCCGGACTGCAGTGGCACGATCTCGGCTCACAGCAAGCTCCGCCTCCCGGGTTCATGCCATTCTCCTGCCTCAGCCTCCTGAGTAGCTGGGGCTACAGGCGCCCGCCACCGCGCCCAGCTAATTTTTTGTATTTTTAGTAGAGACGGGGTTTCACCGTGTTAGCCAGGATGGTCTCGATCTCCTGACCTCGTGATCCGCCCACCTTGGCCTCCGAAAGTGCTGGGATTACAGGTGTGAGCCACCGTGCCCCGCCCCACTTTTATTTTTTAAAAATTTTGTATAAATAAAGGATACAAGTGCAGTTTTGTTCCATGGATATATTGTGTAGTGGTGAAGTTTGGGCTTTTAGCGTAATCATCACCTACATAATGTAATTGTACCCATTAAATATTTCTCATCCCCCCTCCCACCCTCTTACTCTTCTGAGTCTCCAGTGTCTGTTATTCCACACTGTCTGTGTATACACTACTTAGCTCCCACTTATAAGTGAGACCATGTGGTAAAGCACACTTGTATTTTTAGATAGCACTTTTCTTTCCAGGCATTGTTAAAGAGCTGCTTTTCTTCACTTATTCCAACACCATCTCCTATGGAAGGTTAGACATAAAGTTTTCCTTTGGTTAAGATGTTTCAAAATACCACACTGTAGGATTCACTTTATAGTAACACCAAGCCCAGTATTGAAGTGGGTACTGTACTTGAAAATCAATCCAGCAATGTTTTCAGTACAGCTCTAAAATAATCAAAGAGATACTTCCCTGAAGGATCTTAGACACTTAAGTTTTTTCCTATAATCTTATGACTTTAAAGCAGAAAACACTGTAAACACCTGTCTTAGTTGGCTAAGGCTGCTATAACAATATTAAATATCACAGATTGGGTGGCTTCAACAACGGACATGTATTTCTCACAGTTCTGGAGGCTGGGAAGTCCAAGATCAAGGTGCCTGCAGATTCACTGTCTGGTGCGGATCCTCTTCCTGTCTAGTAGACAGCTGCCTTCTTAACTGAGTGCTCATATAGCCTTTCTTCTGTGTGTATGTTTGGAGAGAAAGAAAGTGATCCCTGTCTTTCTCTTCTAATAAGGGCACTAATCCCATGATGGGGGTGCTATCCTTTTGACATAATCTGAACCTAATTACTTCCAAAGGACCCACCTCCAAATAACATCACATTGGGAGTTACAGTGTCAACATATGAATTTTGGGGGGACACCGATATGCAATACATAATAATACCTCATTGCCATTTATGTTTCTCAAAACCTAAATGTTTTTCTCTGTTTCAAGGATGGGATAAAGTATTAGCATCACTAGATGAAATGAAAAAGTGTTTCTTTCCTATTTGCTCTTTTATATTTAGTACGGAACAAGGAATAGAAAATAGCTAGAATGCTTCTAAAGTTTGTTTTTAATATACTATTTGTTTTAACTTATTTTTCTTTTTTCTATGAAAATAAGATGGAAGATCTTCCAGAACAAGAAAAAAATATAAATGTTGTAGATGAATTAGAAATACAATTTTATGAAATTCAGTTAGAACTATATGAAGTTAAATTTGAGATATTAAAAAACAAAGAAATACTGCTTACTACACAGTTGGACTCTCTTGAAAGACTTATAAAAGGTAAAGTTTTTATTTAAGTATATAGATTACAATGTTTATAAATTTAAGGAAATACAGACCATATTATCAATTACTTTTTGTAAACTGTAACATCTGAAAATTTCCTAAAGTTTTCCTTCAGTGGTTTATTATTCAAATAATATATTCATTGTTAGCACATAGCAAAACAAAGAAAGAAAAATGATTATTACCCCAATCCCATCATCTAGAGATGCTCAATGGTTGGCTGGGCACAGTGGCTCAGGCCTATAATCCCAGCACTTTGGGAGGCTGAGGCGGGCAGATCACTTGAGGTCAGGAGTTCCAGACCAGTCTGACCAACATGGTGAAACCCCGTCTCTACTAAAAATACAAAAATACTAAACCCTGTTTCTACTAAAAATACAAAGTCCAATGTGGTGGCACGTGCCTGTAATCCCAGCTACTTGGGAGGCTGAGGCAGGAGAATGGCTTGAACCCGTGAGGTGGAAGTTTCAGTGAGCCAAGATCGTGCCACTGCACTCCAGCCTAGAAGACAGAGCAAGACTCCGTCTAAAAAAGAAAAAAAAAAAGACGGATACTTAGTGGTAACAATTTGCTGTATAACTTTGTAGATTTCAAAATATGCTGATATGTAAAAATATAAATTTTTAACCAAAACTACATAACCAGTTCAGTAACATCTTTTTTAAAATTTTTTAATGTTTAGGGGTGCATAGCAGATACATATATTTATGGGTTACATGAGATATTTTGACACAGGCATACAATGCATAATAGTCTCTTTTTCATTTAATACATAATAATTGTCTTTCTGTTTCAGAAATAATAAAAGTATCAAAATTTTAATGGCTGCATAGTATTCCATTATATGGATATACCGTGATTTCCAAATTTCCGCTGTTTTGAACAGTAGTGTAGTGAACTTTCCTTTACACATGTCTTTGAGTATAGGACAGATTATCTCCTTGGAATAAATATCTAAGGATGGAATTACTGGGTCAAGGGCAATGTATATTTTACATTTTGCTACGTAACAATACAGCAGTCATCTGAGATACATTTTTCCTCACCTCCGTATTATTTTCTGATTTCTAAATTTCATACTATGTAGTGGCCCTCTAGATAGGTCGTACATTTAAAATGACGCTCCCAGGCTGGGCGTGGTGGCTCACGCCTGTAATCTCAGCACTTTGGGAGGCTGAGAGGGGGCAGATCACTTGAGGTCAGGAGTTCAAGACCAGCTTGGCCAACGTGGTGAAACCCTGTCTCTACTAAAAATACAAAAATTAGCCGGGCGTGGTGGTGGGTGCCTGCAATCCCAGCTACCTGGGAGGCTGAGGCAGGAGAATCGCTTAAACCTGGGAGGTTGAGATTGCAGTGAGCTGAGATGGCACCACTGCACTCCAGCCTGGGCGACAGAGTAAGACTCTGTCTCAAAAAAAAAAAGAAAAGAAAAAAGACGCTCCCATCAGCAGAATATGAGTGTGTATGTTTCCCAGACTCATGCCATTCTTTTGCATTTTTGCTTACTTGACAGAGAAAATGGCAGTCTTCCAATTTTCATTTATTTAATTATGAGTGATTATTGAACAAAATTTTGTATGTTTACAAGCCATTTGTACTTATTTTATGAAATGCCTATTCATAGTCTTTGTCCATTTTTCTTTGGAATATTTCCTTTCAACATTAAGAATAATGTCCTCTATTGTCTGTCATATGTTGCAAATAATCTCTCCTTGTCATTTGCGTTTTCTTGCCTTTCAGAAATATTTAAGTTTTATGAAGTCGTGTTTATCGATTTTTTTCCCCTATGGCTTCTGCTTTTAGTATTATGTCTGGCAATAGTCTCCTATCCCAAAATTATGTCAATATATACTTATGTTTTCTTTCAGTATGTTTATGATGTTATTTTTTAAAACATTTAATTCTTTAGTCCAGGTGGAATTTATTTTGATTGTGGTAGGAATTGAACCTTTCCCTCAAATTGTTAAGCAGTCCCAATCACTGATTTTAAAAACATTTTCCCTAAATGTTTAACATTTCTCCAGTTAAACCTTAGATTGACTTGGGTCTGTTTCTGAGTTGTTCTCCTCCATTGGTTCGTGAGTGGCTTCTGCTGCTGGCTCCATACTGTTCCCACGACTGTCTTGGAGGCACATTTTAGGGTCTGGTAAGGCAAGTACCCCCCACATTACTTCACAAGTTTTCTGACTATTTTCACTCGTTTATTCTTCCAGATGAAATTTAGAATCAAGTTCAAAACAAAAAACTCTTTGGAATTTTGATTGTGATTTTGCTTAAAATTAGAGATTACTTTGGGGAGAATAGTGGTCTTTGCAATTTTGAATCTTCCTACCCAAGAACTTGGTATGTCTCTCTCCATTTATTTAAATCTTTTTTCCTAAAGTTCCTCCAAGTTTAATAAATTTCTTCACATAGATCCTGAACTTTTAGTTTAATCCTGAGTATTCAGAATTTTTTTCAGTAGTTTCAGGTTATAAGCATTTTACATATTTAGGAAAAAAATTACATTAAAAAACAAGTTAATCTGGAAGGATGCATGCCAAATTGTTCGTAATGTTTTTCCTCTGAGAATGACTCAGAAGGTTTGGGGAAGGAGCAATAGAATTTCACTGTTTATTTGATGTACTTCGGGTGGGTTTGAATTTGTTACAGTAAGCATGACTTTTAAAAAATCAATATGTAATCAAGATTAAATATCACTAAGGCATCTTAATAATATATTGCTGGTAGAATATAAGTTGCCTTTCTGGAGGGCAGTGTGGCAATGGGTATCAAGATCCTTAAACACTTATCTGCTAAGGAAGTGATAAAAAGCATACACAAAGATTTATACAGAGATGTTCATCACAGTGAAATGAATAATAATGGAACATTGGAACAGCCTAACAACATGGATTGCTTAAATTAGAGAATACTATGCTGCCATTAAAATTTATCTTTTTTAATTTTTTTTTGTTTTTGGAGATGGAGTCTTGCTCTGTTGCCCAGGCTGGAGTGCAGTGGCACGATCTCGGCTCACTGCAACTTCTGCCTCCCAGGTTCATGCTGTTCTCCTGCCTCAGCCTCCTGAGTAGCTGGGATTACAGGCACACGCCACTGTGCCCAACTAGTTTTGTATTTTTAGTAGAGATGGGGTTTTGCCATGTTGGCCAGGCTGGTCTTGAACTCCTGACCTCAGGTGTGCAGCCTGCCTTGGCCTCCCAAAGTGCTGGGATTACAGGCGTGAGCCACCGCACCTGGCCTAAAAATTTATTTCCATCCCATGGAAAGTGTTCTTTTAGAACTCCATTGATACGTGTAGCTATGTAAGTAGTATGTGTGTGTGTGTGCATGTGTATATATACGTATGTCTATACAGGTATATATACATGCATATACTACTTACATGTATATACACACATGCTACTTACATACATGTGTATAGTCATGTATATATACACATGTGTATATGTATATTACATTTATACACATAGATTTTTTATATGTTAATAGTGGTTCTCAGTGGTGGGATTACAAGTGATCTTTATTTTCCTTACATTTAAAAAAATTCAATGTATTTTTACAAATAATAAAATATGTTTTAAACAATCATTAATACCTTTTTAGAAAAACAGGATGAAGTTGTCTATTACGATCCATGTGAAAGTCCAGAGGAACTTAGTCATTGACTGTGGTGGGGCTGCAGGACGATAAGAATTCGGAAGTGAAAGAACTCAGAAGGCAGTGCCAGCAGCTGGAGTCTATTAAACGGGGCAGGATCTGTGTCAAAAGAGCTTCTCTCCAGAGTAGAAAGGTGGGTACGCTCAGAGCAGCTTTCTTTTCTTTTCTCTTCCAGAGATTTATTCTTGTATGAAGGATAAAGAGGTATTGAAATAAGGTTTTTACCAACACAGTGATTAATTTTTTGTGTGCTTATGAACTTATCCATGGCTATAGTTAAAATGATTTTTAATATTTTTCTTAAAAATATTATTTTTTTCTTTTGGGTTTTAAGCATTTAGCAAATCTCAAGGTTTTAATTTATTCATTCAACAACTATTTGTTGAATTCCCACTGCATACACAGGCACTTTATTTTTATTTTTTTTGAGACAGAGTCTTGCTCTGTCACCCAGGCTGGAGTGCGGAGGCATGATCTTGGCTCACTACAACTTCTGCCTCCTAGGTTCAAGCAATTCTCGTGCCTTAGCCTGCCAAGTAGCTGGGTTTACAGGCACGTGCCACCACGCCCAGCTAATTTTTGTATATTTTGTAGAGACGGGGTTTCGCCATGTTGGCTAGGCTCGTCTTGAACTCCTGACCTCAAGTGATCCGCCCACCTTGGCCTCCCAAAGTCCTGGGATTACAGGTGTGAGCCACCACCCCCGGACCACAGGTACTTTAAAAACCACAATAGGTAGAAACTCCATTTCTAATAACCAGCTATAATAATTCTAAATATATTTTAGTACACAAAACAATTACAGATAACAATATTCAGCTCACCTCAGACCTTGTATTTGGTGATTTTTTTTCTTAATTTTTAAAAATCCATGAATACATAAAAAGATAACACTAAGAAATTTAATTTTTTCTGACAGAAAAGGAAGCTTCTATATATCATTTTTATACAGACTTTTATTTGTATTTACTCATATTTACTATACTTTTCTCCCTTTTTTTTTTTTTGATGCGCAGTCTTGCTCTGTCTCCCAGGCTGGAGTGCAGTGGCGTGATCTCGGTTCACTGCAACCTCCACCTCCCAGGTTCAAGCGAATCTGCTGCCTCAGCCTCCTGCATAGCTGGGATTACAGGTGCCTGCCACCAAGCCTGGCTAATTTTTGTATTTTTAGTAGAGACGGGGTTTCACCATGTTGGTCAGACTAGCCTTGAATTCCTGACCTCGAGCAATCCACCTGCCTCAGCCTCCCAAAGTGCTGGGATTACAGGCGTGAGCCACTGTGCCGAGCCTACTATACTTTTCTTGTTAGAATTAAGAAAACATGAAAATTGTGACTTTTGTAGCTTACAAAAATGTTAATTACTCTTCCATGTAAATACAAATACTTAAAAAAAACTTGGCTAGGTGCTGTGGCTTATGGCTGTAATCCCAGCACTTTGGGAGGTTGAGGTGGGAGAATCACTTAAGGCCAGAAGTTCGAGACCAGGGACAACACAGGGAGACCTCATCTCTGTGGTGCGCACGTATAGTCCCAGCTACTCAAGAGGCTGAGGCAGGAGGATTGCTTGAGGCCAGGAGGTTGAGGCCTCAGTGAGCTGTGATTGTACCACTGCACTCCAGCTAGGGTGATAGAACAAAACCCTGTCTCTAATAAAAATTAAAAATAAAAAAATTTGTTAGAAGAGTATATTCTTTGCATGTTCGTGTTTAAGAATTGTACTTCTGGATTTAGGAACTGTTATTCAGAGGATTTGAAGATCTACAGGCATTTGCCCTTTGCTCCACATTTCAGAAAACCCATGAGCCCCAAGAGGAGTCTCCTTTGGCACTCCCATGGTGCTGTGGATGAACAGATGCCTCCACCTCCTTGGCAGTGTTATATGTATATGTATATAAAATGCTCCTGTGCCTTCTCTTATCCAGACTTGGAGCATTAACCTTCACTCTCAAGATATAATCACTCCCCCTACCCCATTTAGAGGAGCTCTTTCCACTGATTCTGGAAATGTTGGAATTTGGAAGGCACTCGGTTAATAGAATGGTAGTTGAGGTGAGCTCTCAACTTGGGTTCAGATCGCAGTCTGGCCACTTAGGTAGTAGTCATGTGACATTAGGCAAATTACTTAAATCTCTTTTGGGCTCACAGTTTTCTCCTCTGTTAAAAGAGGATGATAGATCAGGCACGGCACCCGTAATCCCAGCTACTTGGGAGGCTGAGGCAGGAGAATCGCTTGAACCCAGGAGGCGGAAGTTGCAGTGAGCCGAGATCATGCCATTGCACTCCTCCAGCCTGGGCAACAAGAGCAAAACTCAGTCTCAAAAAAAAAAGATAGTGGTAATAATACAAATTTCATGTGACGATAGAGTAGCATAAGGCATGAAAAGTATTTATCACTGAAGCTAAAACCTACTCAATAAATGTTAGTATTATCTGTGAGTATTACTGTATTATTTTTTACATAGATTAAGGATTTTATGTATGTATAGCATATTATATATTGGTATAGTGAGTGGTTAAGCACAGGTGAAACACAGTTATAACAATTTTTCAGTTGCTCTGCGTTTGTAGGTATGCTTGGAAATGTAATTAGTATTTATAATGTTATGGGGAAATGTGTTTAAAACAATCACATTAAAACATTGTTGGGACACATCCCATTTAAGAATGGGGGCTGCCTGTGTGTCCTCTCATGGTTGGCGGATTGTTTTCACCTCTTAAAGCACTCTGCTGGGAACAAATTATTTCCATAAGCAGCCAGGCAACTCTCATCATAGACTGTGGAGGAGAGTACCATTGGGCCGCACCAGAACTAATATTAATGAATGCCTTACACTACGCCCAAATGCAGTGCTTTCTTCTTTTAACCTTTTATGCTATACCAGGGTAACACTAAAAACCATGTAGGTGATTTGTATTATTCCACCAGGATCAGTGCAAAGAAAATCATTGGCTCAGATTGCAACAGGCTGAAGAAAGCATAAGATATTCTCGTCAGCATCACAGTATTCAGATGGTGAGTGTCCTCCGAAGGAAAATGTTCTATGTTTGTGTAGCGTGACATGCAGGCCTAGACTTGTGGAAACTGGAGTTGCGCTGCCCTGGACCTGCAGCTGTCAGCCAATTCACCTCCAGGCCTGCAGTCTGGGCGCAGTCTTGGGGTGGTAATGTTGGGGTACAGCCTCTTTCTTTGTCAGGACATTTTTATTGTATGCCACACATTTTTGTAATGTTGAGCAATTTACAAATATACATCTGCTTAAATATAGAAAAGAGACAAGATAAAAAGGAGCAAAAGAAAAAAGAATGGGTCAACCAAGAACGTCAAACACTCCAACGATTGAGAGCATTTAAAGATGTAAGTTCTATAAACAATCACCTCATCTACACTTCTGGGGAAATAAATGAAGACCGCTCTAAAGAGGAAAGTATTAAGAACAGGTCATTCAGAACATGAAACATTTAAAAAATAACATTATTTCTGGTATATCAATAAAAAGCAACAACAAAAATAGAATATCAGTGATTCAAAACCCATGATATAAAATAACTGCTGTTTTTAACATCACAACACGCTTGGGTTCCTGCTCTGCACTCTTCACTGAGTAGTCCTTACTGGCACTGGTGGTTTAGATTGGCAGGGAAAACTGAAAACTGTTCAACTCCCTTGACTTTAGCTGGCATTTCCTCTCATTTGTAATAAACAATTCTTTAAAATGTTATCCAGGCAGCATTGTGATATAAGTGTAGTGAAAGTGCCCAGTTAAAAGTAAAATGTGTTGTTGTTTTTTTTTGATATCTACAACTTTCTTTTTTCTTTTTTTTTAAAGTATATACTTAAGAGGATGATGTTATTTTTTTATGCCCTCTGTTCCAGGCCTACATTTGTATTTCCTCCACAAAATGATCCTCAGTCTGTAATTTTTGTTCTATTTGACTTTATTATTAGAGATAAATTCCTTTAATTAAAAAAAAGCTACTATGAAGGTTGAAAAAATAATTTTTTGGTTTTATTTTTAATTGACACATAATTGTACATATTTATGAGGTATAGTGTGATATTTTGAGGTATATAATATGGAATGATCAAATCAGGGTAATTAGCGTATCTATCACCTCAAACATTTATCTACAGGTAAATAGGTTTTTTAAAATAAAGTAAATAGGGAGTCTGGCACAGTGGCTCATGCCTATAATCCCAGCACTTTGGGAGGCTGAGGCGGGCGGATTGCTTGAGACCATGAATTTGAGACCAGGCTGGGCAACATGGTGAAACCCCAGCTCTCCTAAAAATACAAAAATTAGCTGGACATGGTGGTGCATGCCTGTAGTCCCAGCTACTTGGGAGGAAAAATACCAATTGTGCACATATTTTTGTAAAATTATACATAAACACTTTATTTTTTATGTCATTCTAAATAATTTTTTGTATGTTTCTATTTCCAAACGTTGTTTGGTAATATATAGAAATATGATTGATTTTGTTTATTGAGTTTGCATATAACCACATTACTAAACTCGCATATTGAGCATTTTAATAGGTTATTTTGAATACTTTTACATAGACTGTTGTCTGAAAATAGAAACAGGTTTATTTCTTCCTTTCTGATGTGGATGTCACTGATTTTTTTCCCTACATTACTGATCTGGCTAGGACTATCAGTATAAAGTTGAATATAAGTGGTAAAAGATCTGACTTCTTGCCTTGGACCCAGTTTTTAAATCAGTTGGAGAGTCACCATTAAGTGTAATTTAGTGGTAGTTTTGTTTGTTTTTTTTTTGTTTGTTTTGTAGATGCCCTCTATCAGGATAAGTTCCCTTTTCTCATTTTGCTGAGAGTTTTTATAAAGAATAGCTATTGAATTTTGTCAAATGCTTTTGCTGCATCTGCTGAAATGACACGTTTATTCTTCATCTACCTAATAATGTTGCAATTTATATCTGTTGAGCTTTGAATGTTGAACCAGCCTTGCATTCATGGTATAAATCACTTGTTTGTAAAGTATTGTTTTTAAATATTGCTAGATTTGATATCTTAGTATTGTATTTTTATATTTGTCTTCATGTGTTTTTGTTTTCTCATAAGTGTCTGTACCCCCCTTTTTTTTTCTTTAAAGAGAAATAATGAGAGAGATTGTCTCTCTTGAAGTTCTCAGTGCCTGTGCATTGCTGCCACTACACAGCTAGTATCATGACAGCAGCTTCAGAACCAGAGCTGGCTTCCAGGCAAGGCTGGGTGGGGAAGAAAGAGAAAAACAAAAGAATTATTTCTCTATGCCGAGACCAGCTCGGTCAGGGAGACCCTAACCTAGCGGTGCTAGAGGAATTAAAGACATAGACACAGAAATATAGAGGTGTGAAGTGGGAAATCAGGGGTCTCACAGCCTTCAGAGCTCAGCCACAAACAGAGATTTACCCACGTATTTATTAACAGCAAGCCAGTCATTAGCATTGTTTCTATAGATATTAAATTAACTAAAAGTATCCCTTATGGGAAACGAAGGGATGGGCCGAATTAAAGGAATAGGTTGGGCTAGTTAACTGCAGCAGGAGCATGTCCTTAAGGCACAGATCACTCATGCTATTGTTTGTGGTTTAAGAATGCCTTTAAGCGGTTTTCCACCCCGGGCAGGCCAGGTGTTCTTTGCCCTCATTCCAGTAAACCCACAACCTTCCAGTATGGGTGTTAGGGCCATTATGAACATGTTACAGTGCTGCAGAGATTTTATTTATGGCCAGTTTATGGCCAGATTTTGGGGGGCCTGCTCCCAACACTCTACATATGCTCCATCTTGCAGAGGCTTCATTCTTGGTTCTCTAGCTAAAAACAGTAGAAATTTTGCACACCTGGGTTAGAAAAAAAAAAAATAGCCATTAAACCCACCCCTGTTACAGGTCACTATTGGTATTTTGATTTTGCCTTCAATCCATCTGTTATTGTTTACTTTTAAGAGTCCTTGATAGTTGCTTTTTATGTCCAGAGTTTTAATTTCAGTCAGAAAGAGAAATAGGCCTTGGTGAGCATGCTTTGTCTTGGCTGGTGCCAGAAGTCTGTACTCAAATATTTTTAAAATAATTTTTAGTTGAATAACAAGTTAGACCTGTGTTTAGCTTTCTCATTGTTTTCCTAAAAATAGAAGAAAAGGTTTTAAATACTTTAACCACGAAATAATTTAAAGCAGGTTTAAAATAAACTCCTTCATTTTGCCTGTTCTATTACTCTGTTCTCACACTGCTAATAAAGACATACCCAAGACTGGTAATTTATAAAGTAAAGAGGTTTAATTGACTCACAGTTCCACATGGCTGGGGAGGCCTCCCAATCATGGCAGAAGGTGAATGAGGAGCAAAGTCACATCTTACATGGTGGCAGGCAAGAGAGAGAGCATGTGTGCAGGGGAATTCCCCTTTATAAAACCATCCAATCTCATGAGACTTATGCAGTCTCATGGGAGCAGCATGAGAAAGACTCACCTCCGTGATTCAGTTACCTCCCACTGTGTCCCTGCCACAACATGTGGGAATTGTGGGAACTAAAAATCAAGATGAGATTTGGGTAGGAACACAGTCAAACCATATCTCCTATATACATTCACACTAGCATTTTAGTTTTAGAACTAGTTCTATGTTACTATCTGAATTAATTTTTCCACAATTTTGTAAGGAAAAATAATGCGTTCTTTGAATTTCATGTGTAAATGATATTTTTAGTTTTGTGTCATTTTGTCAAATAAATTCTGAAAATCTTTGTATTGACAGTGTGTTATCTCTGCATAACCATATATGTATAAGAGTGCTCAATAAAAAGAATAAAGAGGAAACAGCACTGGATCTATACCTATACAAAACAAGCTACCAGCAGAGCCCACTGGGAGTGGTCATGATATAATCAGGAATGTTATATTCACACGTTGTAGATCTGCATATGAGAGGAGGGTTTGCAGATAGCAGATTCTAGAAAAGTTGTCTAATCAGACAGTAAATGAAGGTGTTGAAGCACTGAACAAAAATAAGCTGCTTTAATTACTCATAAGAGGGAAGTACAAGTCATTATTCCATCTGCCAATTTACAGACTGTAAGATACCCTTTAAAAGTAGCAGTAAGTAAACTCTTCATAAAAGTTAGACTGTATGACAAATCCACTGCCTTTCTTCTTTTGCAGCAGGGCCTTTCTTTTTAATGACTATTTTTTGTTTTTGGAGATGAAGTCTGTCACCCAGGCTGGAGTTCAGTGGCCTGATTGATCACTGCAGCCTCGACCTCCAGCTCACATAATCCTCCTGCTTCAGCCTCCTGAGTAGCTGGGACTACGGGTGTGTGCCACCATGCCTGGCTTTTTAAAAAAAAAAATTTTGTGGAGTTGGTGTCTCGCTATGTTGCCCAAGCTGATGTCAAACTTCTGGATTCAAGCACTTCTGCCCAAAGTGCTAGGATTATAGGTGTGAGCCACTGTGCCCAAGCTAGTGACTATTTTTGAAAAAAGAAGCACATTACCCTCCCTTGTTAATCACTTATGTACAAAAATGCATGTTTTGCTGTTGATCTGTTTTAACTCTTTCTACATAAATAACACATTTGTACATGTATATGTGCAGATATATTTATAATGTTAAAATTGTGTTTAAGTGATGTTTACTAAACAGGATAAAATTTTGTTTGGAAAATTGCGATGTGAAATTTTATCTAGTTAATCTATAGTCCTTTCCCTTATGGTGTCCAGCTCTATGCAGGCTCTGCCTCACTCCAGATTATGTAAATATCAATTCATATTCAAATGAATTTGAAATTTAGCTTTCAACATTTGCCTTTTTAATTCATCTTGAAATCATTGTGGTAATATTATTTCCTGTCCACTAGCATACTTTTTAATCCCAACAGTAAAGTTTCTGAAAAGACCACTAGTTCTTCTTTTGAGCAGTTACTGATACCTTGCCATTGAAGGGGAGGATAGATGCCCACAGCCCCTCTCCTTCAACCACATATGTCCAAGTAAAACTAGTATTTCTTCTTTTTAAAAAGATAGACATAATTATTTTCCGTATTATTGAATACATTTCTGTTGTAACCTCAGTTCTACTCTTCAGAATCCTTTGTTCGATTTTCTTGTAGTTGATTTGATGATCCCACTCACACTTTCCTACCAGTTGTTCCAGAGACGATGGGCTTAGTCACACAGTGGGGAGACACGTTTGTGGGGGTTGGGTGGAAGTTCTGGTTCAGGTCTGCATCTGTTCACCATCATTTATGATGATGCTGTAACTCACATCTGCTCTTTGATGAGAAGTCACACAAGTAATTGCTAAATTAACCCGTCAAATCTAACTATCATTCAGCTATGTCTCACTGAGCCTTTTCTGGACAAATCGTGTTGTTCTCAAGAATATTTATGTGACTTTATCCTTTGTGCAAAGGCTATAGGCAACGGAAGCGATAGGGGAAGTATGTGGAAGGTTGACCCACATAGCTGTTGCCATATGCAACTTTTCAATCTTCTTGATTTCTGCTTCTCTTCCCAGTTCTTATCATCCATAGTGATTTTTGGAAAAACTGCCACTACATTGGCATTGTGAGTACTCAGAGTGGTGTGTCTCTTCTCCTTAGCTAGACTGTCAGGACAATTCTATTCGCTTTCAGACTTCCAAATGTCATCACATCTTATTCGTGCCTGACCTCCTTTTCTCTCATTCGCAAGATATTCATGGCTCCTTTTAAATAGGATAATGGCCAAATGAAAAGTGTGTTATTTTCTGAAAAAATTGCTGAAAGGTGAGGAAAGTGGCAAATGTATTTGCCTATAAAATTTTTAAGGAAAAAATTAAGGTTGAAATGAAAGTAAGGATATTTTCATCCAATTACCTCATTCAATTATCATAATCAAGGTCAGAAAAGAAAGAAACTTCAGTTCAGCCTTTGCTAGAAGTAACTTGCAACAAATCACACATCTACTGACTCTGACATTCGCCCAGTGATAGCAGCAATGCTCCACATATCACATGCTATACTGAAATATAGCAATTAAAATAGTTTTCGATGCAGATCAAGCAGTAATTACTTTTGCCCAGAAATCTTAAAAAATAAATTGTATGTGGAGAACAGGAAGCTTAGGAAATGAGGGTGCCTTTTATCTTTGCAGTGACAATTTACCTTGCGCTCGCAGTGACATTTTCTAGATTTTAAAAATCAACGTTTTTTATTTTTATTTATTTATTTATTTTTTTAAATCTGCTGGCCCTTTTGCTTTTAGCAGCCACAGACTTCTTGGCCTCTCAAATGCCCGGATGCCTGAAACTTCTGAAGAGATACTGCCTTCAGCTTCTTCTCAGTCCCAGCACGGTGTGAACACGTAGCTCCGATGACGCCTCTGCTTGCTTCAGCCTGCTGGTGCTTAATTAGGTGCTTATCCTAATACCTTAGAACATACTTTCTGTAGATGGTTTAATTCCAACCATCATATATGCTTTTTCTCAGATTTTCTCCAGCTTCTCAAAACTTCCCTGTAAATGAGGCCTTGTAGGCAGCTTTCTTGCTATGACCTCACCTTCCATTCAGCACAGAAACAGCATCCATTGCTGTTATGCAATGGATAAAATTGTATAACAAAGGTTATGGTTTCATATCTTTAATGTTACTGGCAGACTTTACTCCTGGCCTTCTCCTAATCAATAGGCCAGTCTTCCCCTCCCCAATCCCCCATTTTTAGCCATCTAATTTTATTCCTTACATTCGTTCTTATAAAGGCAAAAACCTGGCCGGGCACGGTGGCTAATTCCTGTAAGCCCAGCGCTTTGGGAGGCCAAGGAGGGTGGATCACGAGGTCAGGAGATCGAGACCATCCTGGCTAACACAGTGAAACCCCGCCTCTACTAAAAATACAAAAAAATTAGCGTGGCAGCGGGCACCTGTAGTCCCGGCTACTCGGGAGGCTGAGGCAGGAGAATGGCGTGAACCCGGGAGGCAGAGCTTGCAGTGATCCGAGATCGCGCCACTGCACTCCAGCCTGGGTGACAGAGCAAGACTCCATCTCAAAAAAAAAGACGCAAAAATCTTTTTTAGCCTTCTCTTCAGAATGGTTAAAATATATTGGCAACAAAAACAATTTTTACAAATGATTTAAAACACAAATTATTTGCTTATTATTTTTCACACTAATAACAAAGAATATAGACACTATATATGTTCCAATCACATTGATCATGCAGAAAATAAATATTCTTTGGTACTGGTTTTCCTTTGATCACAAATAGATATGAGGGCAAAATGTCTTATCACTTATTTACAAATAACTGATGGCCAAAATGGATAATTGTCATGATAGAAGTTATTGACACTGGCTGGGTGGGGTGGCTCATGCTTGTAATCCTAGCACTTTGGGAGACCGAGAAAGGTGGGATCACCTGAGGTCAGGAGTTTGAGACCAGCCTGGCCAACATGTAGAAACCCTGTCTCTACATAAAAAAAAATAAAAAATAAATAAACACTCTTTGGTTTTGGTGGTGGGCACCTGTAATTCCAGTTACTTTGGGAGGCTGAGGCAGGAAAGAAGTTATTGATACAAATATTTGCAAAAATAAAAAGTTATTTGATACCCACAAATAATTCCAAAGTATGTCCATGTGCTAATTTGTAAATAGGAAGGAAGTTCTTATTTTGAAACTTGCAGCCTGGAAAATATTTATAAGGTTGTTATGACATTGATAACTGGAGTACTTCCTATATCAACTTACTAGAATTTTGGAGACTGACTTTAAAATATAATAAAAAGGGAAAGACAGGGAATTGAACTTCCTTCTCATGTTTTTTACAAATTTTACAGGGAGCCAGTCTCATTTATGTAATCACAGATTTATTTTACAAGTTTGGACTTGCAAAAATATGCCAAAATTTGAATGCCTTACCCATTTTTTTGGGAAGCAGCTAAAATATGTAATGCACTGACCTTTTAATGTTCACTTTGATTGGTTAATGGTTACACCTTTACAGCTCAGTCAGATTGTAAACAAGGGGACAAAACTGAATATATAAGGTCAGAGAAGTATAGTGACAAAATTTATGAACCCCTATACATTTCCTATGAATAAAAAATGATTAAAATTCATACGTTTGCTTTTTAAATATATACATAAGAAACATCAAAAATTAATTCAAAGCATATATTAGCAAATATATTCTTAATTTTGTCTTGAATAACCTTCTTTAGGTGTGCCTTTTTCTACAAAGTTATGTCTTCATTAAACATTTTTCAAATTATTAGTATTATTATTTTTAACTGATGCTTCATATTTTATTTCCCCTCTGCTCTCCCATCCCACCTTTGGTGATGGTTGTGCCCATCTGAGCATTTCGGGGCACATGACCGTAAGTAAATCTTGAGAGAGGAGTGGAATTATTGTCTAAACACTAACAGAAGGGGATTACCTGTAAGGATAGCATAACTGTTGTGCAGGAACAGAAGCTGCCCAGATCTTCTTGGTGGAGAGTGCATAGAAAAAAGACTTAGAATTATGGAACATCTGTCCCCCCAACCACCCTTTCCCACCCATCCCCCAAACCCCCACTCCCACCCTATTCCCCGCCCAATTAATAGTGTTAACAAAAGGTTAATCTAACTTTTTTTTTTTTTTTTGACGGAGTCTTGCTCAGTCGCCCAGGCTGGAGTGCAGTGGCGCGATCTCAGCTCACTGCAAGCTCCACCTCCCGGGTTCACGCCATTCTCCTGCCTCAGCCTCCCAAGTAGCTGAGACTGCAGGCGCCCGCCACGACGCCCAACTAATTTTTTGTATTTTTTAGTACAGACGGGGTTTCACCGTGTTAGCCAGGATGGTCTCCATCTCCTGACCTTGTGATCCGCCCGCCTCGGCCTCCCAAAGTGCTGGGATTACAGGCGTGAGCCACCGCGCCCGGCTTCCAGAATATAAAAAATGAGTTCCATGACGACAGGGCCCTCACTGAGCTGGCAGGCCCCTCCATGGATCACCGGCACCAAGGCGCTGTCCAAATCATTCATGGACTGCGAGGGAAGGGGCTGGCCGCTGCTCCCTGCTTGATAGCCAGCCTGATCTGAGTCAAGTGTTACACGTAGTCCCAGTTTGGTCATTCCATCCTCCTTCAGAAGCTTCAGGAGCAAGGCAAAAAGCCTTGGCAACATGCTCAGTCAATCTACTGTGATCCGTAGGATCACTGAGGCAATTGTGCCGGTCATCGTTTCCTTGTAATCCCAGCACTAGGATTTCTAGGAAATCCTGGGAATCGTTTTCTAGAAAAAACACCTCTGTCCATATGATGACTTTTCCATTTGCTTTGTATTCTGATCCGTGGAATATCTTCACATTTGTTATAGTCTCCATGGACTTCCCATCTATAGGACTTAGACACCCTTGCTAACGTTCTTGTCATCATCCACCCACCGGATGTGCATGCGCTCCTGGGGATCCTCCGCGTCTGCCTTCCCACAGGTGATGCTGAAGTCCCTCGTCTCTAGCAGTGCCTGCCTCGAGGAATCCATGTTCTCTGCAGTGATCTGGACCATAACGCCATCTTCCACAATACTGGACTTGGCAAGGTATCCAGAAGAGGATTTCAGAGCGCCACCGAACACAAAAAAACTGCTTTGAGTTTGCATATAGTTACAGTAGTACTGAAAAATCCTCGCAATTTAGGTTTTTGTTTTCAGTTTTCTCTGTTTTCTAGTGCATAATGACTTAATAAATATTCATTTAACAAAAATTGAAATCTCAAAGGTACATATAAATAAACAATATAAATAACCATCCTTATTACAGTTAACTTTGTGCTTTAAAAAAAAAAGGCATCCAAAGAAAGACAGACGTATTCATGCAATAAAATCTTAGCAATCCCTGCAATAGTTTAACAGAATTATCAGCCCTCCCATCTTAGTCTGGACAGAATGAAAAAAAAATTAGTTCTCTCGTGTTATTCTTTGAGCTCCAACTAGGAAAAATTACTGAAAACAGCTGGACGTTACAACTGTTTTGGGCAGAGAAGTCACACTGTTCAGGAGGACCCCATGGTAGAAACTGTTTTAAAAAAGTTCTTTTTACTTGAAATTACACAAGAAAGCAGAAAATGACATTGCAAAAAGGAAAAAAGTATAGGCAGGAACATTGTTACAGAAGCCAGGTGACAATGAGAAGTAGAGAGTAGAAAGCAATCAACCCTTTTGACCACTGAGAATGAGGATAGTAGAAATTCAATGGCTCATGGATAGCAATAGTCACTCACATGTCAATAACAGGGATTCTGAAGAGTCAGACTTATGCATACACAGAGCATCTCTACCACATGCATGAATTATGTGTGAGTTTGGTGATAATGAAGAGAGACAAACTGCTGCATCAACTAATATACTCTGGGAGTGAAGAGCAGGATAAAAAAAAAACTGTAGAGACCACTACTCTAGGTCATTTAAGTATTTTAAGGAGAAAAAAATAACATAATAGAAGAAAGTGATAACTATCTGGAGTGGTGGGATGGGTGGCTTCTGACACAGCTCCCATGTTTCTGATTCCACCTCCCGATATCTTGTATTATCTCCCCTTCTTGAGTATGAGCTGGACCTGGTGCCTTGCTGGTAAGAGACAGAATTCAACAAAAGTAATGCGGTGTTACTTCCTTGGTTAGCTAACAAGGAACTATGTCTTGCCCCTTGCTAGCCACCCCCAACTCTTGCTGGCATTCCCTCTTGCCCTCTCGCTTGCTTGCTTTGATAAAGAGAGTTGCCATGTTGTGTGATGCTTTGTGGAGAGACCCACGTGACAAGGAACCAAGGGAGTTTACAGCACAACACCTGGCACAAAACTAAAGCCAACAACTATGTGAGTGAGTCTGCAAATAAATCATTCCCTGTCCAGCCTTAAGATGACTGCAGACTTTTAAAAGAGTGAGAGTCAGAGGCCACAGCTAATCCACATGTGGATTCCCACCAACAAAAATTGAAATAATGTGTGTTTTAAAATGCTAAGTTTGGGGGTGATATGTTACATATAAATAGATAAATAATAAAGATGGTTTGGCATGGAGATAATGACAGAAAGGAATTCGACTATTTTAATAGTCCAATGAAGAGGTATGAAAGATCTGAATTTGGATGGTAGCAGTGTGAATGATGTAAAAGATAAATGTGAGATTCTATAAGGTAAGATTTTATAGGACCTACCAATAATAGGGGTGAGAGGAGGATAGAGAGATGGGAGAGAGAAAGGGAGGGGGAAAGAGAGAAAAGGAGAGGGAGAAGTGGTAAATGAACAAGATTTTTAGTTCAAGTCAGTAGGAAAACCACTGGCAGAGTTGTTTTATTTAAGCATTAACAATTACTTTCCGAGCAACTGTGATGTGTAAGACATTATGTTATCTGTACTAGACACTGAGATGAACCCTCAAAATGGTGATGCCCTCAAAATGGTATAGTGCAAAGTAGAATGTTGTGAAATTTTTCCTAATGGAGAAATTCATCCAATTAGCATTTGAGGAAAGGTATATGTGAGTTGGACTTTGGATAGTAACATACAGAGATTAGCATTAGAAAGGAAGCAAAATATTTCATTAGACATATAAAGAAGTCAATAGTTTATTTTCACTAGATTGCAAGCATATGAAAAAGACAACAGGAAAATGTGTCTCAATTGTCAGCCTAAATTTAACATCTTATTCTGTAGTGAAATCACAGGACAAGTAAATAGATGTCTTGCACTTAGGACAAATTATTTAAGTTTGTTGAAGAAATGAGATGATTGATTTTATTTTTAAGTAATAAGTAATGTGAGAACATCTGCAATCAGTAAGATTTATGTAGATCCAGGCTCAACAAACTACTGCCGATGGGCCAAATCTAGTCTGCAGCTCATTCATGTAAACAAAGTTTCACTGGAATATAGCCGTCCTCATTCATTACGTAATGTCTATGGCTTTGACAGAGACTGTGCCACCTGCAAAGTCAAAAATATTTACTATCTGTCCCTGGACAGGAAACGCTTCTCAATCCCTGGTCTACATCATAAAATGGATTTGAGTGGAGAGAAAGAAAAAAAACTCATTAAAACATATGGGGTGTTACTGCCTTAAACAAGTAGTATACTAACAATAGAAATGGAAAGGAAAAGTTGGAGTGTGCATGTGGGTATGCATCTGTGTGCATTTGTGTGTATGTGATGAAAACTGTTTAAATGCAGGGTACAATATAGAAGAGGAGGCCATCGTGGTGCTTAGATGGCTCTGAATTGACAGTCTCCTCCGTTAATATTTAAGTGCAATTTTGGAGGAATAAGTCTTTCCACTCAACTCTTAAGTGGTTTAATCAACTGGCCATATTTTTTTCCTAATGGTTAGAAAGGATAAGTTACTCAGAAGGAAAAGTAGTACTGATTGAGAAAGAATTATAATGGAAGGTGGGGGGTGATTGCATACTTCTAGGAAAGCTGGAGGGAACAGCTAAAAAACAGTATGATACTGAACACTTGGATGAAAGCATGAGTGAAAGCAGGTGAGAGCAGCCCTAAAAGGACGCCAGTTTGCACCAAAAGTAAACACTGGTTTTCATGCTGCCTCTTGTATATATGTATCAAAAGATACTGGTACTTAATGTATAAATTAGAATATTAACTTTTAAAATATGAATTGAACTTATATGGGGTTTAAAAAAATCAATTATTTAAAAACATCACCAGGTTCCTTTTGTTGTTTAAATTCTCTCCTGATAGAACTAAATAGGGGTCTCTTAAACAGGGTTCAAGAAGCAGAAACATACATAATGGTACTCAGGATTCAATGCATTAAAGATTAATATTCCTTGAATTAGAAGAGCCGAACTAAGTATCCAAACACCAGATATAGGTCTAGAATAGCAGATACATCTAAGTAGGTTTCAACTGTCTAAGGGCACATGCCTGGTGCAGGGACATGAACAAATTGTGAGTAAACAGGGATAAAAGCCCTATGAGGGATGTTTAACATTGAAATGTATAAAGTTTTTATTTAATCACAAAGTTTTCTATATTGGCTAAAATTTTATAATGATAATGAATTATTCATGTGAAAATTAAAAACTGTTTTTTTTGTATTTTTAAAGAAAAAAGCACAAATACACCCATAGAACACTGTGAAATATTATCTTTCACAATGTACACCAGGCCAGGAAATTATTGGGCTAATTTGAGTCTTCAACAAAATTTTACTTTGTGAAGAAATAAGACAATGCTGGAGGGACCAAGGTTTTCATTTGCCTGTGCTCCTTCTGATGCCATCTTTACTCTCCAGGTGAAAGGATGTTTCTGAGATCAATATTCCTCTCCTTTGATAGTTACCTTCTTTTAAAACCTACTGAACACTGACTTACTCAGCTCCACTCTATTCTTCCCCGTTTCCTCTGGGTCCTTTGATAATAGATGCTGGTATCCCTGTCTGTCATTCACTCCTATATGGTTCTCAGGATTTGTTTGCTGTTCCTCCCTCTGTTAACCTGAGCCTTGCGGGCCAAAGTAAATTACTCTCCCAGCACCTTTTATACAGAGTGGTCCATAGTAGTTTTCCTGACACCTATGTTATTACACATTTCTCTCCAAGAACATCTCTAAAGCTTTATGATTTATACATTTGAGTTACCTTAGACCAATTGACCTAAACACAAGATATGCTGTCACATTTTAAGCTGCTTCCTCAGAATATGTTGGTTGAAATCTACTGCCTCTCCCTTGTCCAGGGTTTCTAAATACCCGTAGGGTAGCTTCTCAATAATATATATTACTAATAGCTCAGAATGATTATTATACTAACAAGAACTTTTTACTTTCATTACTGTGTCAGAGGACTCGGAATATCATTAGCAAAACCTGTTTAGAACAGCCATCTTAAATCCTTGTTGAACCAATTCCAGCATGCTTTTAATTTAAGTAATCCTGGCGCCGTGGCTCATGCCTGTAATCCAATCACTTTGGGAGGCCGAGGCAGGCAGATCATGAGGTCAGGAGATCCAGACCTTCCTGGCCAACATGGTGAAACCCCATCTCTACTAAAAATACAAAAATAGTTGGGCATGGTGGCATGTGCCTGTAATCCCAGCTACTCAAGAGGCTGAGGCAGGTGAATCTCTTGAACCCAGGAGGCAGAGGTTGCAGTGAGCTGAGATCGCGCCACTGCACTCCAGCCTGGTGACAGAGTGAGACCCCATCTCAAAAAAAAAAAAAAAAAAAAAAAAGAAATCTTGAGTAGTACATTCCTTCCCAAGATGAGCATGCAAACAAAGATAACATGACTTTTTATTCTATATGTACGTTTGAAAGATCTCTTTAGTCCTTTAAAAACTTCATGAGATGTATAATTTTATAAATATTGAGATGCTTTGGGAAAAATATTGAAGAAAGGCCATTTGATTAGGCATAAAGCACTTAAAGTGAATGCCAAGAAAGTTGCATAGGTCAAAATAGGTCCACAAAAATGTATAGATTAATGAACCTTCCAATGTGAACTGACTGTTTCTCTGAGTGTCTTTTATAATTATGGGTGAAGGCTGAGGATTGGGCCTGGCCCAGATATGGATTAGGGGTAAAATAAGCAGTGGCACACAAAAGATATTTTCCCTGAGGCATATTGACTGAATTATTGTGATATATGCAAGAATGAGGAGTTATTCCAGAAGATTTCAAGAGACAGAATAAAATCTTCAAGAGTATCACAGCAACTGGGAGACAAACTCATTGCAAAGAAGAGAGCCTGCCCCAAAAGCATGGCCAACTCCCTTGTTCAACACATTTCTAAGATTTTGAAGCTGAATAGGGTGAAATGCTAAAGGGCTAAGCCCAATACCCCTGAAATTAAAATTTAATCTCCAACAACATTTTTTGAGACTAATGAGAAGTAGTTCCTACCAGCTCTCAATCAAAAGCTCAAAAGGAACATACTTCAGAAACAGAGATAAGCCAAAGATGCCAGTCTTACTGAAACTAAAACTGAATCCTGACTGCTCCAATATCTGATTGTATTGGTAATGACTTTCTCCCAACACTATCTGCTTAATAGAGAAAAGTGGGAATACATTCTAAAACTACTATTACCAGAATACTTTATTATTCTTTTATACACAATGTCCAGCATGATACAAAAAACGTCTAGATATGTGAAGTGGCAAAAATTGTATTAATCAAAACACATGTGCACAATAAGCGCAGCTCACTGATTCACAGTTCAGAATTTAGCAGACAAATTTAGAATGACCGTTGCTAATATAATAAAAGTAGGCAAACTGGATGAAATGATGGAGATTGCAGCAAAGATTTAAATATCTATAAAAAGTCACACAGATATTCTAAAACAGAAACATAATAATTGAACTTATGTCACTGAATAGGCTTGCTTTAGAATAAATGTAGTAAAACAAGTTAACCTGAAAAGAGATTCATAGAAATAATATAAATTGATCTATAGAAATAATCTCAACTGAAGAGATTTAATAAAGCAGAACAAAAAAGACATAAGGCACTGTCACAACATCTACTATAACTAAACTGGACATAAAGACAAGTGAGAGAGAATGGAGAAGAAGCAATATCGGAAGAGCCGTTGGTCAAAAATTTTGTAAAATTGATAAAGAATATCAACCTACTTGCAAGAAACTTAACAAAACCTAAGGAATATAATACAAATAAAACTTTACCTATGCAGATTATAAGCTGCTGAACCAAAACAAAACTCTCAAAAGTAAGTAAAAGAGCACAAATAAGTATTCCAACAAAAACAATAGAAGCTGGAGACAATGAAATGGCATTTTAACATGCTGAGGGGCAAATTTGCCAGTCTAAAATTTAATAACCAGTGAAAAAGCACATAAAAGTGAAGCGCAGTAAAATATATTCAGACAAGTAATTGTTGAGAGAATGTTTGCCTAGGAGAACTGAACTACAGAAATACTAAGGAAAGTTCTTCAGACTAAGAAAAAATTATCCCAGAGAGAAGCATACAATTAGAGGAAGCAATGAAATTAACTGAAATAAAAGCCTTAAAATATTGGCACAAGAAGTTCTAAAGATCTGAGTAAGTTCTGTATGTATTATAGAAACTACATTTATGATTAACACATTTTACACACACACACACACACAATTCCAACCACATGTGGATTACCTGGTGAATCCTTACCAAAACTTAAGGAACTAATTGAACTAGTCTTACACAAGCATTTTCAGGAAATAATACAAAAGAAAGAACACTTTAATTTTTTTGTGGGAAGCCAGTAATCATTGATACAAAAATCTGAAAGATATTAAAGAAAAGTAATTTATAAAGAATATTCACCATGAAAATAAACCTGAGAAGTAAGGATAAATATAATTAACTTGTCTTTTACAAAGTTTAAATGTTGAATAAAATATATGACAAAGAGTGGGAGTAGCTAAATAGTGTTCAACTGCTCTAAGGTCCTTACATTGTTGGAGAAGTGGAAAAAGTACGAACATACTTCAGAAATAGTAGTCCACAATAGTTGAGAATAAATATTATATCCTCTAGGATAACTAAGGTACTTAAGGTAGTCCACAATAGTCTAGAATAAATATTCTGTAGGATAACTAAAAGTACTAAAAAGGAATTACAAGTATTTTAATAAAATGAAAAATAAATAATTATTCTAAAAATGGAAAAAAGGCCAGGCGAAGTGGCTCCTGCCTGTAATCCCAGCACTTTGGGAGTCCGAGGCGGGTGGATCACAAGGTCAGGAGTTCCAGACCAGCCTGACCAACATGGTGAAACCCCATCTCTACTAAAAAATACAAAAATTAGCCAGGCGTGGTGGCGCATGCCTGTAATCTCAGCTACTCAGGAGGCTGAGGCAGGAGAATCACTTGAACCCAAGAGGCGGAGGCTGCAGTGAGCTGAGATGGCACCACTGCACTCCAGCAGGGGCAACAGAGCGATTAAAAAAAAAAAAGCCAAAAAAGGAAATAAGAATAAAAAAAGATAGTACAAATATAAAAATATTAAATCCAGAATTTGAAAGATTAAATCCAGAATTTTAATACAGAAGATTGTTTCAGAAGATTGTTTCAGAAGATGTGGAATAACTACCACTCTTATAGACTGTTGTGTGAATGTGAATCTGAACAACCATCTTGAAAATTCTTTTGGCGAGATCTACTGAAGTTAAATGTTTGCATACCTTTTGACCCAGCAATTCCACTCCTGGGTATATATACTCAAGATCAATGAGTACTTCAGTCTAACAAAAGATATATATAAGATATTCAATTAGCATTATTTATAGTAGCCCAAAATTAGAAACAGATGAATCATCCAATAACACAGTTATATATTCATAAAATGGAATACCCCTATTAAAATTATAAAGTATGAACTATAGGTATATACAAGAATCTCATAAATTTTGAAAACCTAATATTGAATAAAATCAGCCATATGCAGGAGCATATATACTGCATGATACTATTTTTATGAAGCTCATTAACAGCCTATTAACATTAATTCATTAATGGAATGAATCTATATAAATAGAGGTCAGTATAGGAGTTATCTTTTTTTGGGTTGTAGTTGACTGAGTTGGCAAGAAGAAGGTTTATGGGGTATTTGTAAGATTTTTTTTTTTTTGGAGGTGGAGTCTCTCTCTCGTCACCCAGGCTGGAGTGCAGTGGCACAATCTGGGTTCACTGCAACCTCTGTCTCCTGGGTTCAAGCAATTCTTCTATCTCAGCCTCCCAAGTAGCTGGGATTACAGGTGCCCGCCACCACACCCAGCTAATTTTTGCATTTTTAGTAGAGACGGGGTTTCATCAGGCTGGCCAGGCTGGTCTTGAACTCCTAAACTCAGGTGATCCACCCGCCTCGGCCTCCCAAAGTGCTGGAATTACAGGCATGAGCCACCGCGCCCGGCCTGTAAGATATTTTTTATCTGAGTTGTTCCGTGTATGAAGCTATGTGAAAATTCAATGAGGTGTATACTTAAGATCTGTACACTCTGTTATGTGTAAATTATACATTAATATTTAAAAGAAAAATAAGTAGATTAATAAAGCACAGTTTGGTTTTACAGATACCTATCTATGACCCAACCATTCTACATTTAAGTATATACCCAACAGATATGACTGGGAATTTTTTACACCAAAAGACTTTCATTATAATATTATTTTTATATGCAGACACTCAAAACAGTTCAATTGTCCACCAACAGCAGAATGTAAAAATATTTTATGGATCATTGATAGAGTGGAATAAAATACAGCAATTAAAGAACTGCTGCTACATCTGTGGTGTCACAAATATGCCTGCATTCATAGAAATTTCCTCAGGAAAAATGAATCTATTGTAGAGGAAGTCAGAAAAGTGTTCTATTCGGTAGAAGAAAATTAATGAGGCATGAAAGAGGCTTCTGAGGTGCTCTTGTTTATGGTGGTCACATGACTGAGTCCATATTGAAAGATTATAAAAATTGTACACTTATGATTGATGCACTTTTTAGTCTATAACAATGTATTCATTTGCAGGAGCTACTCTCCAAGGTACCACAAACCGGGTGGCTTAAAACAACTCACATTTATTGTGTCACGGTTTGGGAAGCTAGAAGGCTGAAAACAAGATGTAGTCAAGGTAGTTTCCTCCAGAAGGATATAAGGGAGGCTGTCTGTGTCTCTTGCATCTCTCCCAGGATCTGGTGGTTTGTTGGAAATCACTGGTGTTTCTGAGTTTACAGATGTGTCAGCCCAGTCTTCCATATAGTGTCTGCATATAGTCTTCCCTCTGTGCATGTTCCCCTTGTGTTCAATTTTCCCCTTTTTATAAGAACACTAGTAATATTGGATTAGTACCCACCCTAATGACCCCATTTTAACTAGATAACCTCTGTAAAGACTCTATTTCTATATAAGGTCACATTCTAAAGTATTGGGGGTTAGGGCATTAGCATATATTTTCGGGAAAAACACAGTTCAACCCATAACAACATATAATTCCATTTTTAAAATCCCAAAATTACATCTAGCCTAAAAAGGAATGAAATTGAAATAAAGATCGCAGAGGCCTGCAGTAAGCCTTGATGATGTAATACCTGTTTATAAACCAAATGTTAGAATGGCTTGAAACAGAATTGAACATTTTTGCGCTATAAGACACATAGGAGAAATTTTAAGTACTTTTTTTGGATGAGACATTAGTCTCAACAAGACTGAATGATTTTCTTTTAAGGTCACACATTTAAATAGTTAACAGGAGAAATAGCGACCAGAATCATAGTCAAATACCCACCTACCCCCTTTCCAAGACAACTAAGGTCTCAAATTGCGCCCATTTTTCTCAAATTATTTCTAGAATGTTTAGCAAAAGAGGCTTTTAATTTGGCATATCTTTGTCTACAGTTTTGTAGTTTATGTAAAGAAAGGTAGACTAAGGGAATTTCATTTTAAAGGTGAGAATCAGAATGACATTTGTGAAGCTATGATGCCTGTGCCATCTGGCATACACGAGGGTGTTGTACTAAATGGGATCAGAATGAGCTCCTTTTGGAAGGAAACCTTTAATAGACTGGGAAACATTAAGGGAATCTTCCCTTTTTATTTTTATTTAATTTTCTTTCTTTCTTTCTTTCTTTCTTTTTTTTTTTTTTTTTTTTTGAGATGGAGTCTCGCTCTGTCACCCAGGCTGGAGTGCAGTGGCGTGATCTCGACTCACTGTAAGCTCCGCCTCCTGGGTTCACGCCTTTCTCCTGTCTCAGCCTCCCGAGTAGCTGGGGCTACAGGCGCCCACCACCACGCCCGGCTAATTTTTTGTATTTTTAGTAGAGATGGGGTTTTACAGTGTTAGCCAGGATGGTCTCGATCTCCTGACCTTGTGATCCGCCCGCCTCAGCCTCCCAAAGTGCTGGGATTACAAGCGAGAGCCACCATGCCCGGCCTTTTATTTTTAATAGAGCATTGGAAAATGAATTCTGCATAGCTAGCTAATGAAGGAAATCCAGAGTCATTGCCAAAACCGAGTTTTAAAGGAATTTGCAATCCTTCACAGTTCATTCAAGGAGGCAATGGAAATTTTGAAGAAGAATTTTTTTAAAATCTTTCTTAAAAGGAGCCCTTACATTGGCATTGTATCACGACTAAAGTCTTGCTCCCTCCCTCTCTCCCTTCTATGCTTTTTGTTTCTCTTTTCTATCTTTCAATGACATCAGTTTCATGGAGATAAATGGTTAAAAGATAATGATTACAACACATACAGTTGAGTGACACAAATCTTGTTGTAGTGTTAGAAATACATCAATACATTGGGATCATAAAGATAAATGGCAAGAAAAAAAATCTAAGTTAATAACAGAAAATGCTGATTCCCACAGTCCGTGTAGAAAATACACGTTTTTTCCTGTCAGTGGAGATAACTGAGACCAGTTAATATTGTCAATTCTGTTCCTTCTGACTGAGCCAGGTGAGGCAAAATTTAGCAGATGACTTGAGGGACAAAACTATGACCTTGGCAACATAAAAATTAATACTGTCTACATTGTTTACTAGGAAATGCATGCAAAATTAATACACTCTTGGTAGTACAGGTTGGTTTCACTTCTATAGTGTGTAGTTACTAGAAAGCTGATTCAACAGATGATAGATTCAACAGACGACATAGAATTGTCTAAAATCCAGCCGGGCGCAGGGCCTCACGCCTGTACTCCCAGCACTTTGGGAGGCCGAGGAGGGCAGATCACAATGTTAGGAGATCGAGACCATCCTGGCTAACATGGTGAAACCCCGTCTCTACTAAAAATACAAAAAAATTAGCCAGGAGTGGTGGTGGGTGTCTGTAGCCCCAGACACTCGGAAGGCTGAGGCAGAAGAATGGCGTGAACCCGGGAAGCGGAGCTTGCAGTAGTGAGCGGAGATCGCGCCACTGCACTCCGGCCTGGGCGACAGTGCGAGACTCCAGCTAAAAAAAAAAAAAAAAAAAAGAATTGCCTGAAATTCATCTTCAATTAGTCCATGGCATGTTTTGGAATTTATTCACTTGTTTGCCTCAGGAACAGTAGCTGTTCAGATTTGTTCTTTGATTTTGGAAATGAGGTTACCGTGCTCTGTAGTGTCAGGAAGATGACGTGGCATAATCAGGCAAACGGCTAGGCATTTTCTCAGCAGTAAATTACCAGTGCCCTTGCTTGCCATAATACCCACAAAAGGCAGAGGCAGTTTCCTGAGGCAATCCAGGCCACAAAGAACTGTACATTTGGGGAAAACGTATCTTCAAATATATATGTTAAAATCTAAAAAATTGGTTAGTATGTATTACTTTTGTGGATATTTAAACATTCCCTATGCATAAAGACCTAGTTAAAGAGGTGCAGGCATTTGGCATGTTAAATAACTCCTTGATGAGAAACCACACTATGAATAATAAATATGACTTAATAAAAATGAAAAATAATGAGATTAGTTTCTATTGAACTATTCTTGCTTAGAATGCCCCTGAATTTCAGTCATAGAAATTCACTTGTACCTGGGTAAGTTACAAGTACTTATTTGTGCTGGTTTCTGTGTCATTGGCAATTAAAATTTTGGTAAGTTGAATAAAAGATCTTTCTAAAAAGGGAGTTCTTTTTTTTTTCTTTTTTGAGGGGGACGGAGTCTCGCTCTGTCGCCCAGGCTGGAGTGCAGTGGCGCGATCTCGGCTCACCGCAAACTCCACCTCCCGGGTCCATGCCATTCTCCTGCCTCAGCCTCCCGAGTAGCTGGGACTACCGGCGCCCGCCACCACGCCCGGCTAATTTTTTTTTGTATTTTTAGTAGAGACTGGGTTTCACCGTGTTAGCCAGGATGGTCTCCATCTTCTGACCTCGTGATCCGCCCTCCTCCGCCTTCCAACGTGCTGGGATTACAGGTGTGAGCCACCGCGCCCGGCCAAAAGGGAGTTCTTACACTGGCAATGTATCATGATTAACGTTTTCCTCCCTCTTTCTCTCCCTCCCACATATGTATTTTCGTGTCAGTATATGTATATGTGATTTGTGCCATTTGTGTGTGTGTAGGTAAATGAAAGTGGCATCAAGAAAATCTCACATTAAAAAAATTTGAGATAGTACAATTCTTATGCATCATATGTTGCATAATGTTTGACTATTAAGAAATTTGCATCACACGTCTACTTATTTCATTAAACATGTTACAGGCAATTAATTTACTTACACCCTCCATTTCTTTTTTCCCACTCTCTGGGTCTCCTGCTGCAGGGTCATTATATGTTCCACTCACAAAATGTCCTTGTTTTTCCCTTACTCCTGTCATTGATCTTCTGAATCTTTCTGGTGAATTTAGCATGGATGTTTTGATAGAAAGCTCTGGCATTAACTCTGGAGTTGTTTTGCAAGGAAGATTGTTCTCTTTTTCACCATTTTTTTTTTAGGTCCTTGAAGTGTTTTCACATAGATATTTCACAAGAGCCATTTCAGAACTGAGAACATTCGGCGTGCACTTTTCCTCTTTTGGTCCCACAGTTTTTATGAGTCCTACTTGAAATTATGTTTGCTCCCGTTTCAATTGTAATATTGCACTTACTCATTAGTTTTTAGTTTGAACTCTCCTGGGAGGTCTAATGTAGAGTTTGGACAAAGACACAGATTCATAATAAACCTACCCAGTCAATTTGGTATAAAGGCTTAGAAGGTGGAACTGGCCACATTTTGAATTGGAGGTAAGTATCAGGAATGGTAATGGAGAGACATACAGGATTTTCTTATGGGAACAAGAAACAACCTCTGGGCAGTATTAGAGCCCAGAGAGTGAAAAGCCTCTTCTAACTTCAATATTCTATGTACAAATTTACAAGACTTTTTTTTTTCTTTTTTTTTGAGACGGAGTCTCACTCAGTATCCCAGGCCGGAGTGCAATGGTGCGATCTCAGCTCACTGCAAGCTCCGCCTCCCGGGTTCACGCCATTCTCCTGCCTCAGCCTCGCGAGTAGCTGGGACTACAGGCGCCTGCCACACCCGGCTAATTTTTGTATTTTTAGTAGAGACTGGGTTTCACCGTGTTAGCCAGGATGGTCTCCATCTCCTGACCTCGTGAGCCACCGCGCCCGGCTGAGACTTTTAATTGACAGACTGCATTGCATAAGCCAAAGGCCAACAGAGAGGTGACCTTTCAAATTACTGGCACAACAGGAGCCGAGATCAGAAAGCTCCAACTTAATGCAAACATCGACAAGAAATCCGACAGAAATGACTTCTGTGTCTGGTCAACTTAACATAACATGACATATTGTCAAGCGCATTTTGCTTTTTAGGTAGAATTGTCTATAACGATTTAACTGCTTTAGAAAATATAAATGTGAAGATTTGTGGTATTCGGGTTTATATATAAGATATTTCTACATTTAAAAGAGACAGAGTGGAAAAGCTTGATATAAGATTTGTAAAATATGTTTGTAATAATGCTAATGGAAGAGGTGAGAGTTGGGTGGGGTGGGGTGTAGATGGGAACATGGTTTGGGGATTGGGGAAAGGGAAGTCATGCTGTTAATAAAATAGTGAGGCATGTTGTATAAAGTGTGTTTTATGTCTCAATTGAAATGTTATAGAGAGAAATTTAAAATAGATCATGATTGGTTTTGAATCTGATTTCTAATTTTAAAATGTTATGAGCTTTTGTTGCTTTCCTATTTCATACACATTTCTTTATGGGTTTCACTTAGACTGCATGAAATTGCAGATGCCAATTACCTTTTAATAAAATTAAATTCACATATATGTATAATTTGCATGTATATATTCACGGAATTTTTTATTCTATACGTGATATATTATTTTAAAATGGTTTATCAATGACATAACGTATAATTTTTCTATACTTTCAGTTTTCTGGTTTGGATTTTTTCTGGCAACACTAATTTTCACCTACCTATACTCATTGATAGTATAAAGTTGTACAAGTGCATATTTGACCATGATTACAGTTGAATAGATGACTGGAGGTACATCTATGATGACTAATACTTTCTAAACACATATTTACCTCTCATATATCTGTGTAAATGATTGTAAGAGGAAGGGGAAAATAGAGATGTATCATTAGGTATACTGTCTTAAAGCACATTCAGCTGCTCTCATGTTTGGAGAATTTTGAATGTGATGAATGTTTCTCTTTCACCGCTAACAGGTTGTGTGTGTGAGCCAGATTTTATTGCAAGTGTTTGAAAGACTATTGCAAATATCGGATATTGCCAGACAGTTGGTAAAAAGCAAATTGAGTCTATTGAGAAATTAATTCACCAGCTGAAGGAAGCACATTTGCCTTACAGTCATCAGATATTCTACCCACCAGACTCATCTCCGAGATAGCATCCTAATGAGCTTCCTAAACCAACTAAACATGAGCAGGAAGCATCAGTCGTCAAAACTGACTCTTTTCAGCCAATCAGCTGACTGCACAAACTGTATGGCATTGAGGAAAGGAAGAACATTCTGAAAGTTTTTTTTTTTCATTCTGCCCTCACTTTGTTGGTTTCTCAGTTTTACAGATGCAGTGTCATGCGCAGAACCCTGTAAATGAGCATAGTTCATTCAAGTATATAAAGTGCTTTCGTGTATTATTATTCAGTGGAATAAAATGAATGTTAACAGGCTTAAGTGATTTTCCTAAAGGCACACAATTAATGTATGGCTGGAATTCAAAATCGGGTCTTTTCCTCTGTTCTGATTGTTCTATAAATAGGGGTGTAGTGATTGATTTTCTACCCACCATGACAGGGAATAGGTTCAAAACTTAAAACCCTGTTCATTTTATAATTAGGTAGACTCAAATGACAGGTCAAGGCAGGGAGGGGAGCCAGTCATTTTTATTCCCATATGGGTTTGCTCCTTCAAAGACAGGATTGGGGTAGCAGGGTCAGTTCCTACAGGTTATAACGATCTTAATGATAAAGTTAACTAACCATAACTGAATAGTCATAATGTGCTAGCACTTTTCATAATGTATCCCAAATAATACTCACAAAACCTTCCAAATAAATGTTACCTTTTTGTTATCTTTGTTTTATTTTGTTTGAGACAGGGTTTCAGTCTGCTGCCCAGGCTTTAGTGCAGTGATGCAATCATGGTTCACTGCAGCGTCAAACTCCTGGGCTCAAGCAATCCTCCCACCTCAGCCTCCCAAGAAGCTAAGACTACAGGCATGCACCACCACTCCCAGCTCCAAATAAATATTCTTATCCCATTTTACTGATGCAGAAAAACGTATGGCCCAGAGAAGTAATGTTAAGTTTATTGGGGGATTTAAGTTGTAAAAAATTATTTTATCGAACCCTAATGTAAACTATGGACTCTGGGTGATAGTGATGCGTCAGTGTAGGTTCATCGATTATAGCAAATGCATCATTCTGGTGCAGGATGTTGACAGTGGGGGAAGCTGTGTGTGTAAGGGAGTAGGGAGTCTAGGGGAACTCTTCTACTTTCCACTCAATTTTGCTGTGAGTCTAAAACTACTCTAAAAAATGAAGCTTATTAATCAAAAAAAATTCTTATATTTTATGAATATATGGGACAGCTATTCATGTATGTGGTAAAAAGAGATTTGTTACAATACTCGGCAGGAGTGTGTCTAATATGACTGATATTCATGTGTCACTTATAAAAACTGGCTTCATAATCTGTAGATTCATTTCATTTGTGTATGTTCGCTTAAGGGCGCACACATGGAAACACTTTGGTGTTATTAAAGGTCTGTTGGGAGGGCTCCTCTTTGGTGGAAGCTATGTCTATTTCTTAAAAGTGATTTAAGAGTAAGATGTGAAATAGCACTTGCCCCCGAGGATGGAGCCAACAGAGCATAGGGGAGTTATGTGATGCTATCTCTGAGAGACTGGAGAGAGGAATATAAAAAGCTTATTCCTTAAAAAAGAATAGGGGAGGACTTCCTTACCTGATATCTCAGATTATGAAGCTACAGTTCTCTCCCTGCTTTAGGGAAAAATAATAATAACATACTTTTTGCAAAAATCAATTACTGAACATATTCCTATATTTTAGATTTATAATGAAGCATTTTTGTACATATTCATTAAAAAAGAGTAATTAAAATATTTTTCTCTGGTTTATAGTAACTAGGATGGCAACACAGATATATCTTGGAAGTATTTCTTGGGATGATTCTTCAACATAAAACTATTCTTAAAAACTTCTTAGAAGTCTCCAGGTACTCAGGAATAAGGTCATTTTAAATTATTCCTTATTGACCATAAGAAAAATAATTAGGCAAGACCACAAAACTAAATGTTTAGACTGTTTCTCCTGTTTCCTGATTTTCAGGTTATTTTTTTATCCCAATTTTATTTTGCTGTATGGTCATACATTTCATCTTTGAAATAAAGTATATAATAATCACTTTTTTTTTTTTTTTTGAGACAGAGTCTCGCTCTGTCGCCCAGGCTGGAGTGCAGTGGCACGATCTCCGCTCACTGCAAGCTCCGCCTCCCGGGTTCATGCCATTCTCCTGCCTCAGCCTCCCCAGTAGCTGGGACTACAGGCGCCTGCCACCATGTCCGGCTAATTTTTTGTATTTTTTTTTTTTTTTTTTTTAGTAGAGACGGGGTTTCACCGTGTTAGCCAGGATGGCCTCGATCTCCTGACCTCGTGATTTTCAAAGCTGTTCGAGGGCATTTATCAGGCTTTTAACTCTAGGTACTCTTTCCCGCAGTGTGACGGCCAAGAGAAGGGATCCTGGGCTCTCTTCCCTGGCCCCAGGACGGGAATTCAGGGGGAAAATTCACCTACTCTTATCCCACAAAAGAAAACTTATTCATCAGTTGTCAAGCTAAGGAGCTTCAGAGTCCATAAAGAGGGAAATTGCTAAGAGCTTATCAGTAGTGTCCACCCCGCATCCCCACCTGGGGTCACATGGAGAATGATGGTGGGGGCACCGATCTTGTCCTGCTTCAGGTGAAAAGCAGGGGTGTGGGGGGGTTTCATTGTGAAGGGCTCCTTTGTTAAAATTCCTTCCAATTCCAGGAAAAACATGCACTCCAAAAGCCATTATCTCTTTTACTTTGTACTAGGGGACTTCCAGGAAAGAGAGAGAGGAGAAAGAAGAGGGCAAAACAACTGCAGTGAATTTAGTCACCTCTCCAATTGCCTTTCTTGTTGCAGAATATTTCACATTCCAGGAATTTCCTTCTTGACCTCTGGACTGTTGATACACCCAAGATCTTAATATGCTTTCAATCATAGGTTAAAGACATCAAGCGCCAGATCGCTTGGGCCTAGGAGTTCCAGACCGGCCTGGACAGAATAGTGAAACCCAGTCACATTTTTTTTTTAAGGGGGAGATTTGCTCTTGTTGCCCAGGCTGGAGTGCAGTGGCGAGGTCTCGGCTTGTGGGACCTCTGCCTCCCGGGTTTGGATGGTTCTCCTGCCACAGCCTCCCGAGTGGCTGGGATTGTGTGAGCCACCATGCCCAACTAATTCCCTAACTGTGCAACTGCAAGGTCACTAAACAAACTCGTCACAAAACATATTTTTCCTTAAATAGTAAAAAATAATATAATGTATGTTTCAATTAAATAAGTATCTTTGTTTCTCGCTTCTATAATATGCTTCTCCCTGCACAGATCTCCCCCTTCGCCCCACATAATGCTTGAAAGGTAACTCTTGGTTCAGTACTCAATCCTTTAAATGTTAATCCGACTGGGCTGGTGCACCTAAATAATTAATAAATGTCCTCCTAAACCCCATGAGTCTATCTAATTCCTTAAAAATCCCTCTACAGGACTGCAGGTGTGAGCCACCGCACCCCGCCCAATTTATTAATCAGAGAGGAATAGATGGGCCTGGCTTGGTGGCTTGCGCTTGTGATCCAAGGACTTTGGATGGCAGAGCACTGGGGATCATTTGAGCCTAGGAGATCCAGACAGGCCTGGGCAACATGGTGAAACTCGGTCTCTTTTTTTTTTTTTGAGGCGGAGTTTCGCTCTTGTTGCCCAGGCTGGAGTGCAGTGGTGCAGTCTCGGCTCCCCGCCGCCTCCGCCTCTTGGGTTTGGGTGGTTCTTCTGCCTCAACCTCCCTAATGGCTGAGATTGCAGGTGTGAGCCACCATGCCTAATTTTCTTTTTTCTTTTTTTTTTTTTTTGGTACACACAGGGTTTCTACCTGTTGGTCAGGCTGGTCTCAAACTCAGGACCTCAGGTTATCCGCCCGCCTTGGCTTCCGGGGGTGCTGGGATTGCAGGCGTGAGCCAGCACGCAAAGCCCAACTAATTAATCAGAAAGGAATAGATCGGCCTGGCGTGGTGGCTCACGCTTGTGGTCCCAGGACGTCGGACGGCCGAGCGCGGGGGATCGATCACTTGAGCCTAGGAGTTCCACACCGGCCTGGGCAACATGGTGAAACCCGGTCTCTCTTCTCTTTTTTTTTTGGTACAGACAGGGTTTCTCCATGTTCATCAGGCTGGTCTCAAACTCCCGACCTCAGGTTATCCGCCCGCCTCCTGGGCCTCCGGGGGTGCTGGGATTGCAGGCGTGAGCCAGCGCGCCCAGCCCAGTTTATTAATCAGAAAGGAATAGATCGGCCTTGCATGGTGGCTCACGCTTATGATCCCAGGAATTTGGACGGCTGAGCGCGGCGGATCGCTTGAGCGTAGGAGTTCGTTCTATACTTGCCTGGGCAACATGGTGAAACCCGGTCACTTTTTGTTTGTTTTGAGGCGGAGATTCGCTTTTGTTGCCCAGGCTGGAGTGCAGTGGTGAGGTCTTGGCTCAACGGGCCTCCGCCTCCCGGGTTTGGGTGGTTCTCCTGCCACAGCCTCCCGAGTGGCTGGGATTGCACGCGTGAGCCACCATGCCCAGCTCATTTTGTTTTTTGTTCGTTTGTTTTTGTTGTTGGAGATGGGGTTTCTCCATGTTCATAAGGCTGGTCTCAAACTCCAACCTCAGGTTATCCGCCCGCCTCGGGCGTCCGGAGGTGCTGGGATTGCAGGCTTGAGCCAGCGCCCAAGGCCCAATTTATAAATCACAAAGGAATAGCGTGGGGGATCGCTTGAGCCTAGGAGTTCCAGACAGGCCGGGGCAACATGGTGAAACCCGGTCTTTTTTTTTTTTTGAGGCAGTTTCACTCTTGTTGCCCGGTTGGAGTGCAGTGGCGCGGTCTCGGCTCCCGGCGGCCTCCGCCTATTGGGTTTGGGTTGTTCTCCTGCCTCAGCCTCCGGAGCGGCTGGGATTACAGGCGTGAGCCACCATGCCCGGCTAATTTTTTTTTTTTTTTTTTTGGTATAGACGGGGTTTCTCCCTTCGTCAGGGTAGTCTCAAACTCCTGACCTCAGGTTACCCGCCTGCTTCGGCCTCCCGGGGTGCTGGGATTGCAGGCGTGAGCCACCATGCCCAGCTTTTTATTTTTTTTCTTTTTTGGTAGAGACGGGTTTCTCCATGTTGGTCAGGCTGGTCTCAAACTCCCGACCTCAGGTGGTCCGCCCGCCTCCGCCTCCCAGGGTGCTGGGATTGCAGGAGGGAGCCACCGCGCCGGGCCCAATTTATTAATCAGAAAGGAACAGATGGGCCTGGCGTGGTGGCTCACCCTTGTGATCCCGGGACTTCAGATGGCCGAGCGCGGCGGATCGCTTGAGCCTAGGAGTTCCAGGCCGGCTGGGGCAACATGGTGAAACCCAGTCCCTCTTTTTTTTTTTTTTTTTTTGATAGGGAGTTTCGCTCTTGTTGCCCAGGCTAGAGTGCAGTGGCAGGGTCTCGGCTCCCCGCAGCCTCGGCCTCCCAGGTTTGGGTGGTTCTCCTGCCTCAGCCTCCCGAGTGGCTGGGATTGCAGGCATGAGCCACCGTGCCCTGCTAATTTTGTATTTTGTATTTTTTTTTTTTTTTTGGTAGAGATGGGGTTTTCTCCATGTTGGTCAGGCTGGCCTCAATCTGACCTCAGGTTATCCGACCGCCTCGGCCTCCCTGGGTGTTAGGATCGCAGGCGTTAACCACCACGCCCAGCCCAATTTTTAATCAGACAGGAATAGATCGGCCTGGTGTCATGGCTCGCGCTTGTGATCCCAGGACTTTGGACGGCTGAGCGCGGTGAATCGCTTGAGCCTAGGAGATCCAGACCCGCCTGGGCAACATGGTGAAACCCGTTTTTGTTTTTGTTTTGTTTTCGAGGCGGAGTTTCCCTCTTGTTGCCCAGGCTGGAGTGCAGTGGCGTGGTCTCGGCTTCCCGGGCCTCCGCCTCCCGGGTTTGGGTGATTCTCCTGCTTCAGCCTCCTGAGTGGCTGGGATTGCAGGCGTGAGCCACCATGCCCGGCTACTTTTTTATTATTTATTTATTTTGGTTGAGATGGGGTTTCTCCATGTTGGTCAGGCTGGTCTCCAGCTCCTAACCTCGGGTGATCCGCCGGCCTCGGCCTTCCGGGGTGCTGCGATTGCAGGCCTGAGTCACTGCGCCTGGCCCGAAACCCAGTCCCTTAATTGAAAAACAAAACAAAAACCACAAAGATTAGCGGGGCCTGGTGGGCCCGGCGGGTAGTCCCAGCTACTCTGAAGGCTGATGTAGGAGGATTGCTTGAGCCGGAGAGGGGTGGGGGTGAGGTGGCAGTGAGCCATGTTGGCGCTGCTGCAGTCCAAACTGGGCGATAGAGCGGGACTGTGTCTCAGGAAAACAGGAAAAAAAAAAAAGAAGAAAAAGAAAGTACATAAAATTGCTAAATCAAGGAACAGCTTGACAGTATATTATTGAGAGAAATAGAGGCAAAGGCGAGCAGACACCAATGTTCACTTAGTGGAACTGCAGTTGTCCCCAGACAGGAGGCTGCTACTTTTCCAAAAGAAATCTATTATTGACAAAAAAAAAAAAAAAAGGGGGTTTGTTACAATATACAAATAGCTAAACTTTATATAGCCACGACCCTCTTGCAGCACTGCTCTAAGCCTTTTCCTGCTCTGAAATAGCTACTATTGTTACCTCCATTGTAGAGAATACAGATGCCAGAGGTTGTTGTGGAAGGACCATGGAAACTGACTAGGAAATTGACTTGTAAGTTTAGGACTTAAAGGTTCTTCCTGTTTTGCTCCTTACATTGCCACATTTTAGTTAACATACCTCCTAAAATACTGGTCCTTTCTATATTTGGAGGGACTCGTCTTGCAGTTTGAAGTTTTTTCTTGCACTAAGCATTTGGTCAGAAGATCATGTGCGTTTTATGTCAGTTTAAGTTTAGACATTGTTCAGTAAGGAATGTAAATATGAGCAAACAGTTACCTGATTAAATAGAAAACCTAGAAGAAAAATCACCTATGAGAAAGTCAAGAAAATGTGAACTCTGGATTTGTGGCTATTTTCAGAATATTAATTTTTTTGGTATTTAATGGCATTGTGAATATATTTATTTTTAAAAATTCCTTGTCTTCTGCAGATACATATACGGTAATTAAAAAATGATATGATGTATAGATTTTACTTCAAAATAATTCAGAGGAAGAAGGAATGCATATAAATGAAGTGGGAATATAAATGAAACAAAACTGGCTGTGGCCAGGTGTGGTGGCTCACGCCTGTAATCCCAGCACTTTGGGAGACTGAGGCAGGTGGATCACCTGAGGTCAGGAGTTCAAGACCAGCCTGGCCAACGTGGTGAAACATCATCTCTACTAAAAATACAACAGTTAGCCGGATGTGGTGCCGGGTGCCTGTAATCCCAGCTACTTGGGAGGCTGAGGCAGGAGAATCGCTTGAACCTGAGAGGCAGAATTTGCAGTGAGCCAAGATCATGACACTGCACTCCAGCCTGGGCGACCACAGCAAAATCCCACCTTTAAAAACAAACAACAAAAAACCAACAAAAACAAAAAACTGTCCATGCCATGAATGAAAAATTGTTGATGATGTGTATATGTAGGGCAGTTACATTATTTTTCTCAACTTTTTTTACATCTGAAACTTTTTAATGAACACATGCACACGTCCCTTGATAACTGGGGCTGCTTCCCCATTACTCTCTCAATAGCCCTTCTGATTTTCACTTCATCTTCATTCTTAGAGACTCTGGATTTTTTATTTTTTTTGGCAAGTTCAAGTATGTCTTGATCTATGCAAGGACTAGCCAGCATGTCTACCTACTCAGCCATATTATCAGAAACAGAAAAAGTGTCCAGATTCTTGTCTTTTCCTGTTAAGATTTTTTAAATTCCAAGAACAGTCACCTTCTACCAGACACTCTGATGTTGGAAGACAAAGCATATTTCGTAAGTGGCATGATTTCTGTGCTCAAGTTTAGAACAAAGCCACAGATTTCAACATCTCAAAAATAACTTACTGGACTCACCAAATTTAGAAAGATGGAGATTATTTTAAAAAAAGAAAACCTTAATTTACTATGTGACCTCTAAGTATCTCAGCTGAAAATTGTAAAGATAGGTAAATCAAAAGATGCAGATAATCATGCACTTAATGAAGCGCTAAATCAAAGTATTTTTGGCATATGTGAGTTTCATTTTATCACATTTTTTACTGGTACTATAGCTATTTGCAAGTACATATAGAACTACAGTGTTACATATAAACTACCAAAAAGCAACTTTTTAAAAAAATTTTATTATTCTTATACTTTAAGTTTTAGGGTAGATGTGCACAAAGTACAGGTTAGTTCCATATGTATACATGTGCCATGTTGGTGTGCTGCACCCATTCACTTGTCATTTAGCATTAGGTATACCTCCTAATGCTATCCCTCCCCCTCCCCCCACCCCACAACAGTCCCCGGTGTGTGATGTTCCCCTTCCTGTGTCTATGTGTTCTCATTCTTCAATTCCCACCTATGAGTGAGAACATGCGGTGTTTGTTTTTTTGTCCTTGCGATAGTTTGCTGAGAATGATGGTTTCCAGTTTCATCCATGTCCCTACAAAGGACGTGAACTCATCATTTTTTTATGGCTGCATAGCATTCGTTGGTGTATATATGCCACCTTTTCTTAATCCAGTCTATCATTGTTAGACATTTGGGTTGGTTCCAAGTCTTTGCTATTGTGAATAATGCCGCAATAAACATATGTGTGCATGTGTCTTTATAGCAGCATGATTTATAGTCCTTTGGGTATATACCCAGTAATGGGATGGCTGGGTCAAATGGTATTTCTAGTTCTAGATCCCTGAGGATCTAGACACACTGACTTCCACAGTGGTTGAACTAGTTTACAGTCCCACCAACAGTGTAAAAGTGTTCCTATTTCTCCACATCCTCTCCAGCACCTGTTGTTTCCTGACTTTTTAATGATCGCCATTCTAACTGGTGTGAGATGGTATCTCATTGTGGTTTTGATTTGCATTTCTCTGATGGCCAGTGATGATGAGCATTTCTTCATGTGCTTTTTGGCTGCATAAATGTCTTCTTTTGAGAAGTGTCTGTTCATATCCTTTGCCCACTTTTTGATGGGGTTGCTTGTATTTTTCTTGTAAATTTGTTGGAGTTCATTGTAGATTCTGGATATTAGTCCTTTGTGAGATGAGTAGGTTGCGAAAATTTTCTCCCATTTTGTCAAAAAACAGCTTTTTAAGAAATGAGACTAATCTAGCAACTTTATTGAGAGGACGTGAAGTGTTTGGTTAGGAATGGTGCAATTGGTGGTGGTTGTGGACATGTGAGATGTAAGATGCCTCAACTTCCAATGTTGTTCAGAAGCAATCCAGCTTTCTGAATTATTCTTATGAATTCTGGATTTGAAACAGTAACTTCCCAAATGGCAGGGGCTTTCAGCAGAGAGGAACCTGGAGGGACCCTGTCCCTGACACCTTCTGGGTTGTTAGCTCCAGATCAAAAGAACTCCTGATTTGGAAAAAGCTTCTTGAAAAGAAGAGGGGAGGTGACCTTGGTGAAGCCTCTGGGGACATGAGCTATTTTTAGGGCTTTTGGCAGGAAAAGAGCTTTTGAAAACGGAGATAAGGCATGGTATTAAAAAGGCTTACATTGGAGAAAGAAATCATAAAACTCCATACAGTTAGGGCAATAGTTTTGTTTTTTACTAGGACAGCATCAGTTTATTGGAGTATTTATATAACATAAGCAAGGTCTCTTGATATTTTAACAATTAACAACTGGATTTTATTTTCTACTATAGGTGCAGTTTATCATTCTGAATCCAAAGCCAAGGAATATAAACATGTATGCAAACGAGCTTGTCAGAGAGTATCAACGCAATGTGTATCATCTATGCTTTTCAGTTTTGAACATAAAGCAGTGGCTCTGAGCGCGACTCGGAGGGCGACGCCGCGGCCGCAGCCATGGGTGCTGGGCCTGCAGGGGCGCGGGGGGGAGGGCGACGCTAGGACCTGCGGGGCCGGGCGGGAGAGAGGGCTGCCGGGACCGGCCCTAGACACTGAGCCGCGGTGGGATCCCCGCCGGCTCTGCGAGGCCCTGCGAGCGCCAGGGAGGCGCCTCGAGGGAGCCGGGCAGCCGCCGGCCACTTCAGGGGGGCCCGCCACTTCAGGGCGGTCGAAAGAGCCTTGGGGGCACATCTCGGGGTGCGGTGACCCGCCCGGCGCATTTCGGGGGTCGGGGCGCATTTGCCAGGGGACATCTGGAGCCCGGCCCTGCTTCTGTCGGGCTCCAGGGTACCCCTGGATGGCTGCGCTGTGCCCTCGCCGGCCGCCCGGGCGCCACAGCGGCTGAGTTCGCCGGGATCGCCGGGCCGCCGCCGCCCTTGCCACCGGCTGCATGCTCGGCGCCCGGGTCGCGGCCCACCTGGACGCACTGGGCCCCCTGGTCCCCTACGTGCCGCCGCCGCTGCTGCCCTCTATGTTCTACGTGGGCCTGTTCTTCGTCAATGTGCTGATCCTGTACTACGCCTTCCTCATGGAGTACATCGTCCTCAACGTGGGCCTCGTCTTCCTGTTCGAGGACATGGACCAGGCGCTCGTGGACCTCGGCGTGCTCTCCGACCCCGGCTCGGGCCTTTACGATGCTGACTCGGAGCTCGACGTCTTTGATGGGTACTTGGAGTAGGGTCTCGACTGCCGTTCCCCTCTTCCCTCCACGATCCGCAACCCACGCCCTGGACCAGCCGCCCAGATCATGGCGCCGCAGCAGCTGGTTGGGGGCACCATCTGGACGGGGATGGTTCCCCAGGAGGAGACCCTCCCCTGCCTCCGAGGCCTGCCTGCTACCCTCAAAAGCTTCGTGCCAACAGAGAGGTTCCTGTTTGGACCCAGGAGAGTGGAAGAGAGATTGGGACTGAGTGCTGAGATTGGGAAGGCACCTGCTCCCACAGAAGGGGGAACGCAAGGGGCGTCCCAAGACCTCATCTGCCTGCAGCGTCACACCGATGGCCTGGCCTCGGCTTCTCATTATTTGCAACTGCCATGGATGTTTACAGGAACCCAGCCAGAGTTTGCCTCCCTGCACTTCATCCCAGAGCGCACCTGCTTCCTCCACTTCACCTTCGGAGAGGACACTTCAAACTGCGGACACACGCAAAAGCAACTCCCAGCTCTGTTTGATGTGAGTTGAGCCTTCAGGCCAGCTGGGTTTAGCCCGAGGCTGGTCTTAGATGCAGCGACTGTTTCAGGGAGTGACTCAGAATAAAAAGAAGCTGAGGAAGCTGTTGGGGGGCTGAGGATGAGATTCTCGCTTCTTCATTTCAGGTTACTCGTTCCTCAGCAAGTTGGCAAAACAGATATCATGCTGGTGAGTGCCACGTTACTCCCCTGGCTGCAAATGCTTTTCTGAAAGTATGAGTGTCGTGCCTACTTAATTCTGATAAACCTGTTTAAGCAATACTTAGGAGGCTGACTTCTTTGGATTAAAAAAATGTATGCAACTCCAAAAAAAAAAAAAAAAAAAAGAAATTCAACATTTAAAAGTTTCATTTCTAGGGCAGTCTTCCGGTTTGGACTACAAAATTATTTTGCTTGTTTTTGTAGGGGATCGTTTTGTGTTGTTTTGTGTCTTTCTCCACATGATGCTTAGCTCTTTCCCCACGTCCCAGATTAAAGTCTGTATTTTTGTAATTGTGGGCACACAATCATATCTCTTTTAATCTTTGCAACGATGTTGAACTTCTGTAGACAGAAGGATAGAGAAAACAGCTTGAAGGCAGTCAGTGTGTTTTTCCATGAAGGGAAAAAAATAAATAAAAAAATTAAAATGGGTGCTTTTTTAAGAGAGATTGTCCTATACTTTTTCATTCTGTTTTTCATCACGTAGTTTGTATCATAGCAAGTTCATTGTCATTCCAGAGTTCAGCTTTGCCCTTGTACTCAGTTGTGCTTTTTTCCCATTGGTTTTTGAGGTTTTGCTAAACTGTTGAATATTTAATGTGGGGACAGGAATGGACTCAGAAGAAATGTTTTTTATTTTGATTCTTACTAGTCTTGTAGGCAAACCTTCCATTACTTTTTATGCAAATAGGATCTAGTTGAATATTGTATATCGAGTAAATATGCGTCTCTCTCTGCTCTTTTCGTTGATATTTACATAACATTAAAAAGATTATACTTTATCAGAGATTCAAGCTTTTTCTTATGAATGAAGCCCTATAAATAAGAATATTTTGTTACAGGGATTTTGTTCTTTTGAAATTTATAACAATAAAGCTAAAAGTTCTCTAAGCTGTTTTATATTTTTTCTTATTTTTCAAAGTGTGAAATTTTTCTATCATCTGAAAATAAATTTTATGTAACTATAGTCTTAGAAATTTAATACATTTGAATTGTATATTTAGCCTCTTTAATATTTCCAATGAATACACTTCTTAAAAGTTTAATTAGGAATACAGTTCTTAGTTTTTGAGCTTTCTCTTTGTTGACTAAATTGAAATGTTAATAAATCATTTATAAATGACTTTTCCTTCTCTCTCTTTTCCTCTCCTAATTTATGCTCAAGGCCAGGTGATTTTATAGACCTTTATTCTGTGTAGTTTATATTACAAAATAATATGTTACATCTTGATTTAGAATTTACATTATAGTATCCAAAATGTTTTTGTCAAATGTGTGCTTTTATCCTCAGATTCCGGCGCCCCTGTGACTCAGAGTCACTTCTTTTTAGGTATGGAGAGTATTAACGGGGAGGAGAAATGATTCGTTTGAGATTTAGTTATCTATATAAAATACGAATTGTCAGGATATTTGAACCAAACTGGGTCATACAATTTCTGTGGCTATTTTGAATAGCCTTACAATGAATTAAGCTTACTAAATTCCTTGTACTTTTCATTTAATAGCTAGATGTTATTGTTTTAATTTGAATAATATTAAGTGAGCCATATTACCAATTAACCTGAATATAAACACTTGCTTGTTTTTAATCTGAGTAGTTTATGTCTTAAAGTATGGAATGGAACTAGTGGTCAATTTTTATTAATCTAAGTGTCTCCCATACTTCTTTAAGCTTTTGGAAAGTTTGGGAAGTTGTGATTTTGCAATGAATAATCTCTCCCCTTGGTTTCATAGGCAATTGAAAAGCTGCAGGCGGGTGCTCTTGCAACTGACGCAGTCACTGCAGCACTGGTGGAACTTGAGGTATTTCTTTTCTCTGTTTTATTGAAAATACTTGTGAGTTTATCTTTATTGTTCTTAAATGACATGAAACTGTTGAGTTAGTCAACCATAAATTATATGACCAGTGTTGCCCACCAATATTAGCACAGTTATGAAGAAGCCTATGATATTGTTGTTTTCATTGGTGACTTTTCTGAGTAATATGAAAGTTGGTTAAATTCCTTCCTTTTCTTGATTTTTTTTTTTTTGTGAGATTCATGAATACAAAAGTTAGTGACTGGATACTGAAGTTTCTCATTTTCAGTAGGAAAATCCTTGAAGTTAACCCCCAAAAAGTGATGTATGTTCTGTTGTTTAAAAATAAATTCCAACTGTCTAGAAGTGCCTAAAGTAGAAGGGGAAGATTCTTCACGAACCTAACAGTTAGATATATACCCTGAAATTGTGTGCTGTGAAGTGTGCCTTGTCCCAGTGTTATGGTTAGGTTTGTCCCCAGTTTACTGTGGACATCGAATAATTGAGTGGGGAGGCTCTCACGTTTGCCATAATTTTTTATACTCTAGAGTGAGGTCCTCTCAGTTCTCTTGATTTGGACCCTTGATGAATTTGTGCAGGGGATATTGAGGTCTTCAGAAGATTGACTTGCTGCTCGAACTTGGAGAAGATAGATTTGTATCTATCAGTTGAGAGGATTATCGTGAAAAATATTTTTCTGGTTGAGAATACTCCTTAGGGAATCAAGTAAGACATGATGACGAAACAATGATGAGTTTGAGGGAGGAGATGATAGTTAAAGGCGACATTTCCAGGTTGACTGGGTTGTGGCCCTTGTATTCAGGCGCTCATACCAGGGCACGCACCCTTTCATGCCTTTCCTTGTGAAAATTGCCCAGGTGTTTACCAAAAGTCCTAGCCGTGTTTTCTGTATATTCTCATGCTTAATTGTGGACCTGAGCTTTTGATCATGCTTTGTAGATTTTAATTTCTCTTGGTAATGTCAGATTGGTCCTAATGTAGTCAAGGAAGGTGAAAGAATATGGTGAGCACCTAGTTCTATTGAATCTTACATGGGGATGTGTGATGCCCTCCTAATATGACTGATACATTTCATGCCAGCTCTACCAGTCATTAGCCATGTGTCCATGGGTGTGGCACAGTCTGTCCTTGACTCAGTTTCCCTATTTATGAGGATAATAATTCCCACTTCACAGAGTTGTGAAGATTAACTGAGTTCATATATGACTAATACAGGACAGTCTCTTAGAACAGTGTGTGGTACGTAGTAAGCACCCATAACTGTTAGCAATTATTACAGTTATGAGGTGCTTTGGAAGTGGTATGTATGAGATGAATATTTATGGTAACTATTAATGACAAGTTTTACAGCATCAAAGAAAGTTTAATTATATGTTGAGGATCAGAGGAGAAAAATGACATAAGAAAGAAGATAGATGTATTTACCACCAAATGTTACCTTTACTCAAAACAGACACACAAAGAGGGCTTCATCTAACTTAACTAATTCAATTGTTAGTTGGAAATTACTTGCATGGAATCAGCATAGGTTTGGGAAAGAAGGTTATTGAGTAGCTGGAGAATATACTAGAATGGCAACCATGAATGCAAAACTGAATAAAATTAAGTTTCTCTTTTTATCTTAGAATAACTTTAATTTTCCTAAGTCATACTTATATATCATGTTTAATATTTCATTCTATTTTCCCCTAGTGTTGAATCTGACTTTTAAGGGATTTACTTATTTATACTTAAAAATGATAAGAATACATTTTGAAATAATGAGTTTCTCCTGAGTAAGTGGACTTATAGTTTTGGATAACTTGTGTTTTTTTAAGAGTGTGGATATGAATTTAAAGGAAAAAAATTTCTTGTTCTATTATTTTTGATTGGAATAAGTCATAAGGATAATGGTAGCATAGAATTCTTCCCCAAGTGACTTTAGAGCATCCCACACCTCAACTTTTAGTTATTTTATTTTATATATATATATATTTTTGAGATGGATTCTCACTCTGTAGCCCAAGCTGGAGTGCAGTGGTGCGATCTTGGCTCACTGCAACCTCTGCCTCCCAGGCTGAAGTGATTCTTGTGCCTCAGCTTCCCATGTAGCTGGGACTACAGGCATGCACCACCACACCCAGCTAATTTTTGTATTTTTTTTTTTTTTTAGTAGAGATGGGGTTTCACCATGTTGACCAGGGTGGTCTTGAACTCCTGAGCTCAGGTGATCCACCTACCTCGGCCTCCCAAAGTGCTGCGATTACAGGTGAGAGCCACTGTGCCTGGCCTCAACTTTTGATTATTAAATTTGTGGAAGAATTTCAATTATCTTTAACAATTAACTTTTCTATGGACTCTTTGATTGAAATACATGTTAATAGTTTAAGGTTAAGCTTACACTAACAGGAAGAATTTTCCTAAATCTTAAGAATTATGTTGGAAATCATGCTTATACTGCCCCCTGCAGTTTCTCTCACCTTGAATAATTGTGATTCATTACCTTAAAACAGGATAGGTTTTCAGATGGACTTCAGTTGGGGAAGTATTGTAATAGCTTGGGTCAATGGAAAGACGTAAGAAGATTGGATTCTAATATTTTTGTACTTAGAAAAATATAAGTAGCAGTATTGAGTCCTTTCAGAATACTGAAAAGTGCTGAGAAAAATTCTGGAGAGCCTTATTAATAATGCATTATGTTTAATTTGAGAATAAATACTTATCTTAGTTTTGGTCAGTCTATTCAGTTAAGTCATGTCTGGATTATTGAACAGATGCAAACAGTCATTGTTCTCTTCTCTTTAGACTTTGGGATATACTTTTTGATTTAAAAAATGATGTTCTTGCCACTGAGCTTAAGGAAACAATACATAAACATATTTTTAAAACTTGCCCGTTATATTATTACTTAGGCAGATATTAAAATTGATATGAATTCCTTAAATACTAATTGTGGATTGAAATGACTGAAATGTTTTAATGGTCTTTATTGCCTAGAAAGAGTATCTGGCTGTATATTTTAAAAATGTGATAATTTGTATTTTCCCAAATAGTGAAAAGTATACTGATCTTAACTCCATGCAGTGAAGGAGGAAGAGACAAGGCAAAAGAAATATGTGTGTGTGTGTGTGTGTGTGTGTGTAGTAGTGTGTTCCACACACACTAAAGGGAATTATGCAGACATATCATTTTTTAGCTTTTCTTAGAGACTGATAATTTTGTGTCGTTTTATTTTTCTTTACCACCGCTACAGACAAGTGATGTCATCTTAAGACTGTCACTTCTGGACAACAGAATGAGGTGTTTTCTTCATTTAAGTAAAGGAGGAGCAGGTGCAAAAGTTCCTATCTATTAAATTGACCACCTTCTCCCTTTAGAGTTTTGGGAGGGAAGGTGGCTGCTTCTGTATGAGAGGTTTTCTGCAGTGTGGAAATGCAAATGATATTACTCCAAAGTATATTTTGTTTATCTTCAAAATGTAGGGAAGGAAATGGAAAGGTCAGTTTATAGATCATATTTTAATGATTTATTGGTAAGTTGATTCATTCCTGTTGTTTCGTATAGCTTTTTTGAGATTATCTTAATAACTGATGAGAAAGTGAATTCTGTTCACTGGATGGTACAACTCTGGTTTCACTCACAGCAGAGAAGATTAATATTGTGAAAGAATTTGGTCTTCATATTTGGGACTATACATTTGGATGCCAGTTGCTTTTTTGGCTGCTTTTGAAATAGTTTTGGATCAAGTAGTGACAGTGGATTTAAGATTCCAGACCATAATTTTGCATATTTCAAATGGTAAAACTTCTAATGTGAATTTCTTTTTTGAGAAAAGTGGATATAGAACTGGGTGAGTCATGATGCTACCATTTTCTTAGGATTGTTTCTAAAATAGAAAGTGTTTCATGGATTCTGATAGAAAATGAACTATCTATAAAATACTGCCTGAAGCTCCTTTTGCACAATGGTGTTTTTCTTAAAAAGTACAAAGACCTGGTTTAAAAAAGTCTAATGAGTAATAATAGGTGCAATATGAATGACAGACTTTTGGAAGGTAATTTATAATCTTTTGTGAGAAAACTGATGAATTTCGCAGAGGTTTTGAAGATCTTGTTGTAACCTTTGAGAAATTTTGGTTAATTCATTCTGAAAACTGATTATTTTGGTAGGTAGAATACCGTGTATTAAGAATAGTGATAGGGGCTGGGCACAGTGGCTCACGCCTGTAATCCCAGCACTTTGGGAGGCCGAAGCGGACGCATCACGAGGTCAGGAGATCAAGACCAGCCTGGCCAATATGGTGAAACCCCATCTCTAATAAAAATACAAAAATTAGCTGGGCATGGTGGCGCGTTCCTGTAATCCCAGCTAGTTGAGAGGCTGAGGCAGAAGAATTGCTTGAACTGGGACCCAGGAGGCAGAGGTTGCAGTGAGCTGAGACTGCACTGAGACTGCACCACTGCACTCCAGCTTGGGCTACGGACTGAGACTCCGTCTAAAAGAAAAAAAAAAAAAAGAATAGTGATAGGAATAGCTTTTACGTTTTATGTAGTAAAAGGCAAATTATACAGGTTCCTTTGTTAAAAATCTTTTGTTGAACTTCTGTTATTAAAAATGGACTGTGAAGTTTTTTATTCACTTAATTCATGCTTTAAAGCTCCCTATGGTCAGGGGAGATGCTAATTCATGGTTAAAACTCGTTTCTTGTCCAAATGCTTTAGCGTTTATAGGGCAGATTATATTGGGCCAAGTTTTTAGTCATTCTGTTAAAAACAGTTCGTCGTCTTTGGATCTCTGTGTAATACAAATATTGCTTGCTTGTAAACTCTAGGGAAGTCCTTTAAGAATAACTTGTTCAGATGACTGATATTTTGGTATGTAAGAGAAAGAAAGTAGGTATTTTCATTATATATTTATATTATATATAATACTGTTATACATTTGTCTGTATCTTTGTTGTTGTTGAGACAGATTCTTGCTCTGTCGCCCAGGCTGGAGTGCAGTGGTATGATCTCGGCTCACTGCAATCTCTACCTCCCAGGTTCAAACGATTTTCATGCCTCAGCCTCCTGAGTAGTTGGGACTACAGGTGTGCGCCACCACACCTGGCTAATTTTTTTTGTGTTTTTAGTAGAGACGGGGTTTTGCCACGTTGCCCAGGCTGGCCTCAAGCTCCTGGCCTCAAGTGATCCATCTGCCTTGGCCTCCCAAAGTGCTGGGGTGACAGGTGTGAGCCACCGTGCCCAGCCAGGTCTGCATTTCTTTAAGGCAGGGATCTCCAGAATGGGAATGTTGGTCACACTTGAGTAGTTCATTGTGAGTGGACCCCAGCGCAGGCCTCTTGCGCAGCTGCAGGAATAGGCCATATTCTCTCCCCTGGGCTTTATACTTCCGGCTGGAATTGTCTGTGTGCCTCAGGGGGATAGAAGAAACTTCTACGGCCTGCCAGTCCTTGAAATGCCTAGTGGTCATGGAGATGGTGTGGCTTCCTGATGGCATATGGGCATACCTAGGATGGAAGGGGACATTGGGAAGAGCTGATACATTTCCCTTTTCCCTCACCAAACTTATAACAAGTTTTCTTGTGAGCAGATGCTTAACCACACCCTGCTCCCTACCCTACTTCAGTCATTTGGTTTTTATTGCAAAAAAGGAGGGGCATCTACTTTAAGGTCATTTCTGTGATTTGGGAAGTTTAAAATTATTTAAATAAACGAGCATCTCATTTCCTGTACGTTTTTATTTTTGTAGAAATTATATTTTCATAAGCAGAGTGGTCCCTTGCTCTTTCCCCAGCACCCCCTGCCCCCCAGTAGAGCTGACCACACTGGAACGACAGCTTGATGCATTTAGCTCACATTTACGTAAGTGCTCATTAACTATAATGTGGCTGGTGAGTCTAATTTTAGACCTACCACCCTTGAAAATCTCATTTTTCTTTTCCATTGATAATATCTTTTATTCTCTGTAAGGGGAGTGGGATGTGTTTCTATGTATGTGAAGTAGAATATTTACCTTTTTTCTTTTGTAGTACTTACAATGTTTTCATTGCATGAAATTGGAGTTTTGACCTTAGGTGCTCTTTTTTCCTTTTTTTTTTTCTTAACTTGGTATTATTGATGATTTCAAAGATCCTATTTTGCCTGTCTGTTTAGCAGTATTCCCAGTGGTGCTTCAGTATTTCTGTGTATTCCAGCTGTTTATGGAGTCTTTATGTTTCTCTGCATTTTTTATTTTTTGAGGTGTACACACACAGTTACGCTTCATGGAGTTGCATCCAGCCAAGTATCCATGTTCTTCTTGTGAAGAGGCAGAGAAAATCACCTCTCCCAAGAATTTCCACCTTCTGAACAAGGGAAATGTATCCTTAAGAGCTGTATGCAGATGGGAGGCAACTTGTTTGCTTGTTCTGCTGCTAGAGCATTGGTTTAATTAGAAGACAGGCTGTGGGTGGCCATGTGCAGACAAAGAAGCACCAGACAGAGCCCGTTTAGCCTGGGTCAGTAAGAGTAAGTTACACTCTTTTTAAAACACTTTTTTGAGTACTGATGCTGATTCTTGCCTTCAGTACTAAGGGGCAACTTGTAACTTACTGTTTGTGTTTACACATAGATACATCTGTTCTTTTTCTGAGACCCTAGAAATGACACATGCTCTCTAGCACAAAGTACCTGCGCAATGGAAAAGCAGTGATTTCTTCCCCAACCACCCTTTTTTTTTTTAAGAATAAAAAGAAAATGGAATCAATGATTACATTCTAGATTAATTTTACACTGTAGCAAACCCGGTGTTAGCGTTTGACCAAGTCAAAACACTTAAGTATAGAGCTTGTCATGCTTTTACTTTGTAGTAATGGGAACATGAGAAACGATTTTAGCCTTTTCCAGCCATTTCTTGATAAGGTATGTGGGTCTCATCAGATACATTCATCCAGGCCGAACCTAGTAGAAGAGAGGGTCCAAGATCAGACCTAGCAGTTCCTGAGGAGCATGGAACTCTATATGTGTGCCCTTGTTTTTCTCTGGGAGTTGTTACTCTCAAAAATATACTTCATTTTGGAATTCAGTTTTGAGCTACCTAAAGCCACATATGGTAGTGTGGTGGAGTTAGTGGAAATCCTGTGTTTTTGACTATGTGAAAGCAATTTAGACTTTTGGATTTTTGAGTGTACAATGTCTTCTAGTCCTATATTAATAGGGATATTACACAAAAGGGATTTAATTAGATTCATTGGTCCTAGGATTTATAGTGTTGTGATTTTTGAATCTGTGTGTGTGTGTGTGTGTATTTGTGTTTGTTTGGATCTGTATCATTTGTGGCATCAGGTTTATACCTTAGCATCTACTGTTTTGGTTTGTTTTGCTCTTGGTAATGAAGGAAGTAGGCTAAAAAGATTTTTCTATGTTTGGAAAATCACAGGCTGGTATGATGGTGTTTAATTTCAAAGACTACCTTTTGATTTTAAGTTTTTTTCCATCTCTCAAACCCACCCCTTTATTCAGAATCTGGAAAAGAATGAGGAAGAAACTTAAGTTACATAATTTTTAAGATTCTCGGCCTGGCACGGTGGCTCACACCTGTAATCCCAGCACTTTGGGAGGCTGAGACGGGCAGATCATGAGGTCAGGAGATCGAGACCATCCTGGCTAACACGGTGAAACCCCGTCTCTACTAAAAATACAAAAAATTAGCCAGGTGTGGTGGTGGGTGCCTGTAGTCCCAGCTACTTGGGAGGCTGAGGCAGGAGAATGGCATGAACCCAGGAAGTGGAGCTTGCAGTGAGCCGAGATCGCGCCACTGCATTCCAGCCTGGGCGACAGAGCGAGACTCCGTCTCAAAACAAAACAAACAAAAAACCAGATTCTCATCAAGATTCTAAATCTTGCTCTTCTCTCTTTCTTTCTCTTTCATGTGTTCATTACCTAAGTGTTAGAATAATGAAGGATTGTACCTCACTATAGAAATCAGCTTAAAGTTGAATCTTAGACATACCAATTGACAAAAGTTCTTTGGCCATTCCCATTGCCAGGCAGTTTTTACTGGCAGTCATTCTCACTCAGGGTCCAGCCTCCTGCATGGTGTACACATTTCCTGACAGCTCATGACACGCATGTACTGTAACACAGGACATCAACACTATAACACATTCATAGTGGGGAATTTATTTATGTTTAGTTTTTCTGGAGTATGTGCAAATGTAAGCATATTTTCTAGTGGGTTGGAAGTCTTTTTATTAAAAAAACCTTAGTAGAGGACTTAAAAGTTACTAGTATCCCTCTTTCCTCTCCAGTTCTGACCATGTCATTTGATAAAAGGATGGTTTAAATTATTATAATTCCATGGTCTGTTAGGTTCTTCTTGAGTGATATTTCCATATTATTGTCAATATGGTTAAAAGGTATAATTATTTAGGTTGAAGGGAAGTATAAGTAGATGTATACAGCAGATGGTAGCCTCTAGCTGAGATCCCAAGGAGAATATCCTGTTACTGGGAAAGGGTGATTATGTGTTTATTTAGCAAACACAAAGTGTTTACCATGTGCCAGGTACTCTTTAAGCACTTTACAAATATTGGCTCATTAGTTTTCACAAGTGCCCTGAGATGGGTACTGTTGTTAGCCCTGTTTGATGAGGATACTGATGCACAGAGTGGTTAAGTAATTTCCTCAAGGTCACATAGCTAGGAAGTGTTGGAGCCAGAAATGGAATCCTGCTGCCGTGACCCACTCAGTCAATTTTTTTTTTTTTTTTGAGACCGAGTCTTGCTCTATTGCCCAGGCTGCAGTGCAGTGGTGCAATCTCGGCTCACTGCAACCTCCGCCTCCTGGGTTCAGACGATTCTTCTGTCTCAGCCTCCCCAGTAGCTGGGACTACAGGCTCCTACCATTACACTGGCTAATTTTTGTATTTTTAGTAGAGATGGGGTTTCTCCAAGTTGGCCAGACTGGTCTTGAACTCATGACCTCAGGTGAGGCACCTGCCTCAGCCTCCCAAAGTGCTGGGATTACAGGCCTTAGCCACTGCTCCCGGCCCCTCATTCAGTTTAATCAACAAATGAACAGCGTCACTAAAGATCCCTCAAACTCAGTGATGAACACATCTGAAAAAGTTAAAGAAAATTAAGTTCAAAGAAGAAACTTTTCATTGTCACCATTGTCGGTGAATGTAGTGATCTAAAAATTCTCTTTATCATTGTGCTTTAAATAGTGATTTAGTTTTGATCTTTAAATGTCAATAGACTATTGATATTTTGATCTTTAAATATCAAATATGTATGGACTATGTGAATATTGAAAAGAAAATATGAACAGTCACTTTTACAGTTCGGGTTTTTGTCTTAAAATTTTGTTGTAATTTCTCTTCCTAATCTTAGATCTGTTTGAGGAGATGGTGCCTGTGTCAGTGTGGCAGTCTTTGGCTGCCTGTGATCAGAGGAAAGCCGATTTGTTAACAGATCAATTGCTCAGATGAGAGAAGCCACCACTTTGGCAAATGGGTAGGTAGAGCTTAATTTTAGAGCCTAAAGTTTTCCGTTTGGTTGTTCTTTAGTTTGTGAACATTTTAGTTTCTGAGCTTAGAGCTAAATGTCAAGAGTATATAAAATAGAAAATGTAGACACACACAACTATTTTTGGTGGACACTGTATTTGTGAAGCTCTAGCAAATATAGTTGGAAGAAATTATAGAAACAAGGTGAGGATGTTTGACTAAAAATTTGTATTTTAAGAGATATTTATTTGGGGGAAATGAGAAGTAGAAATGAACTCAGATACATGGTACGTTTAGTGTTCTGAACCAATTTTTGTTTCTGATGGATTGGATACTAAGAAAATAATTCATTGGTTTAAAAAATTTTTAGGTATATTTTGCACACACAAAATACACCTATTCTAAGTACACAGTTCAATTATTATTATATGTATATATATGTTTATGTGTGTGTATATATATATTTTTTTGTTTGTTTTGTTTTGTTTTTTGGGACAGGGTCTTATTGTCACCAGGCTGGAGTGCAGTGGTGTAAACATTAAACATGGCTCACTGCAATCTCAACCTTCTGGGCTCAGGTGATCCTCCTGCCTCAGCCTCCTGTGTAGCTGAGGCCACAGGTGCAAGCCACCGCACCTGGCTAATTTTTTCATTTTTTTATAGAGACGAGATCTCGCTTTGTTGCCCAGGCTGGTCTTGAACTCCTGGGCTCCTGGTCTTGAACTCCTGGGCTCAAGTGATCCTCTTGCCTTGACCTCCCAAAGTGCTGGGATTACAGGCATGAGCCACCATGCCTGGCTATTTAGTTAGTTTTGATAAATGTATGTACCCATGTAACCGGCACTATGATTAAGATAGAGAACATTACTGTTACCCTAAAAAAATTCTCTCATGCCCCTTTCCCAGTCCTTCTTCTCCTGGCCCCTGGCCACTATTGATCTGCTCCCTGTCTTAAGTTTAGTTTTACTTTTTATACAATTTAAAATACATGTAATCATTCTAGCATATACATATACAGTACTTACAGTATGTACAGTATATACTTAGAATGTGTTTTGCTTTTTTTCACTTAGTTACTGTTTTTGAGATTCATCTATATTATGTGTATCAGTTTGAGTCTTTTCTGTGGCTGAGCAGTATTCCATTTTATGGTTATGGAGTAGTATTCCATTTTATGGTTATAGAGCAGTTTGTTAACTCTTTCACCTGTTAATGGACATTTCAGTTTCTATGAACATTCGTGTATAAAGCTTCATGTGGACATATTTTAGTTCTCTTGGGTAAATACTTAGGAGTGGAATTGTTAGGTTGTGTGGTTAGCATATTTAATTTTACATGAAATTGCCAGGTTGTTTTCCAAAGTGGTTGTTCCATTTTATATCCTATCTGCACTGTTTGAGAAATACAGTTGTTCTGCATCCTCACCAATACTTGGTACCGTCAGTCTTTTTAGTTTTAGCTGCTTTCGTGTGTGTGTAGCAGAATCTCACTGTGATTTAATTTGCATTCTCCTAATTACTAATGATACTGAACAGCTTTTCATGTGCTTACTAGCCATTCATATCTTTTCTGTAAAGTGTCTATTGAAATCTTTTTCTCAGTTTTTAAAACTGAGTTTTCTTAATATTTAAAGAGTTCTTTACCTATTTTGGAGGCAAGTCCTTTGTCAGATACATACGATTGAGAATATAGTTGACCCTGAACAACATAGGGGTTATGGGTGCTGACCCCCCTGCACAGCCAAATCTGCATATAACTTCTGAGTCCCCAAAACTTAACTACTAATAGCCTGCTGTTGACCAGAAGCCTTACTGATAACATAAACAGTCAATTAACACATATTTTGTATATGTATTGTATAGTATATTCTTATAATAAATAAGCTAGAGAAAAAATGCTATTAAGAAAATCATAAGGAAGAGAAAATATATTTACTATGATTAAATGGAAGTGGATCATCATAAAGGTCTTCGTCCTTGTCTATTTCATGTTTGAGTAGGCTGAAGAAGAGGAGGAAGGAGGGTTGGTCTTGCTGTCTTAGAGGTGGCAAAGGTGAAAGAGGTGAAAGTCCACATATACATGGACTCACGTAGTTCAAATCTGTGTTGTTCAGGGGCCAGCTGTATTTCTCTCGTGGTTGGCTTGCCTTTTCATGTTTTTAGTTTTGATTAATGCATGGATTTTACCATCATTTTTCTTGAACAAGAAAGGAATGTAAGTTTACTCTAGCATATGATAAACAGGCAGTCTGAGATTTTACAGAGCTTCTTTTCTGAGGAGTTCATTGTATTCCATCATTTCATTTGCCTTTTTTCTTTACATAGTAGGTAGGGATATGTACCTCCCTTCCCCATCATGTAAATGAAATAACTGAGGAATCGTTAGTGTGCTACAAAACCGAGAGCAGATGAAGATTCTGTAATGAAGACTTAGATCATCTATCTTCTGTTGACATTTTGCCTAGATGATGTGAAATTATAATTATTGATTCTGTTGAAAGAGAGCAAAAAAGAAAAAAATACCTATTTTGTGTATTGTTTCTGACTCGTTAGAGATGCTGTAACAATCAAAAGTATAAAAGACTGCTTTTTTAGGATAGAATTTTTGACTTTTAATTACTTAGACTGAAACAAGTTTGAACTGTAAGCCAACGATACCTAATATATTTTAATGCGGTCATAATTTTTCGGCTTTTTTTTTTTTGTTTTTCCAGACTGAGTCTTACTCTGTCGCCCAGGCTGGAGTGCAGTGGTGAGATCTCAGCTCACTGCAACCTTCGTCTCCTGGCTTCAGGTGATTCTTGTGCCTCAGCCTCCCAAGTAGCTGGGATTATAGGTGCTCACCACTACGCCTGACTAATTTTTGTATTTTTAGTAGAGATGGGGTTTCACCGTGTTGGCCAGGCTGGCCTTGAATTC